>NC_000022.11:36891382-37042897 GCF_000001405.40 Homo sapiens
ACTCAGGAAGCTGAGGCAAGGGATCACTTGAGCCCAGGAGTTCGAGGTGGCAGTGAGCTACAACTGCACCACTGCTTTCTAGCCTGGGTGACAGAGGCCCTGTTAAAAACAGAACAGAACAAAACAAAACAAAAAACAAAAAGAAGACACAAGGAAGAGAAAAGATAAGCCAAAGACTAGAAGATATTTGCAAGATGTGTAACTGACAAAAGATTAGTATCTAGAATACATAAAGAATTCCCACATATTAATAAGAAAAATAAGGACAACTATATAAAAAACGGGCAAAGCCATGATTAGATATTCCAGTAAAGAGGAAAAAAAATGGTCAATAACTATATAAAAAGATACTCAGTAGTAATAAGAGGAGTGCAAACTGGTTCAATCTCTGGAAGACAGTTTGCAATTTTTTTGTAGAGTTGAACATTCCCATATCTTATGACTCAGCAATGAAACTTGCACATGACCCTGGGACATAAGCAAGAACATTCATGACAGCTCTCTTCCTAATAGCCCCCAACAAATGTAAGCAACCCAAACATCTGTCCAGAGAAGAGTAGGTTCATACAGTGATTATAGCACAATGACAACATGAATGATTCTTAGAAATGTAATTGAATGAAAAATCAACTATCAGAAGATAAGATTCTATTTTTTTAAAGCTCAAGTACTATAAACAGAAATAGCAGATACAAAATTCAAGATAGTGGTTATTTTTGGGAGGGAGGTAGCAAAGGCATAGGAGAGGAAGACATAGGTAAGTATCAGTAACAGGTACTGAAATTTGTTGGAATACTTGGGGTTGAGTGGGTGGGGGAGTGGGTTCACAGCTGTTTATTATACTTTATGGCTTACATATAGGTTACACATAATCTTTTGCATGTATCAAATATGACATTAAAGGTAACATATAGTTTACAAGCTTAAAAATCGGTTTCCATAAAAGATTCTTATTCTCCAGTTTTCAGAGCTTTGACTTCATTTGGCATAAATTAATTACTTTGATCTGTTATGCCAGGAGAGCATTGCTGGCCACGTGGTAGGAGTGGGGTTTTCCTGAAAGACAGGGTGGGATGAGGCTGTGGTGAGCCTCCCCTTGGAGAGGAAATGGTGAGGCAGGAGTCCAAGCCTAGCATTGCTGGCTGGAGGGACCTGGAGCTCTCTTCCCAGGCTGAAAACTTTGGGACTTTCCACCTTTGAAGTTCTGGTTAATATTCTGTTTCCCTGCAAACAAGTGCAGGGAATAACCTTACAATAACCATGGGCTGGAGGTTTGTCCTTAGGGGGAAAGAGGAATGGGACAAAGGACAGGGAGGACAGGTTCAGCTGAGCATGGGAGTGGGGGTGGAGAGCAGGGAGTTCATGCTGAAAAAGAAAGGCAGACAACCACTCACTTAGAGGCTGTTAGGAAGATGCTGAAAGAAAGCAGGGGAGGCCATGAGGCCCTGGAGGTAAAAACATGGTTTCTGGCTCTGCTACCTCCTTGCTGGATAACTTGGGTAAGAGACTGTCTTCCCATCTGTAAAATGGTCTAATAATAATGGCAGCACTCCTCGTAATAGCTCTCAACAAATGTAAACAACCCAAACACCTGTCCAGAGAACAGTAGGTTTATACAGTGATTATAGCACAATGATGACACGGATGATTCTTAGAAACATGATTGAATGAAAAAGTCAAGTATCAGGAGATAAGATTCCTTATCTTCATACCTCCCTTCGTTGCATGGTTTTTGCGACAATAGGAAATATATTTTGTACATTGCCTGCCACACAGCACCCATCAATAACACAGACTTAAAAAAATAAGACCACCTAAAAAGAAGCTTTACCAAGAAACTAAGCAATTTGAAATGGCGACTATGGCATAGTAAAGGCCAGCTGGAATCTGGAGGAAACATGGAGACCTCCAGCATACTCTCCTGTTCCCGCCATGCCACTATAACAATTTCTTCAAGGAATAAAACTGTCCCTAGAAACAGTAAACCATCCAGCAACTGTGTATGAGACATGCTTATGGCTGTTAAATAGACTTTCACAAGCTGCATTCTCTTCCTGCAGTGCTATGAGAAGTCATCATCAAGTTTCCTGCAGAGCAGGATGGACTTGTTCACACATTTGACATTTCAATAATGTACACTTCGGCCCAAATAACTCAAGTTGGGATGGTTGGTGATTTGGGCCTAGGGATTGTGCCCCTCCTGCTTGAAAAGCGGAACCCTTGAGCAGCAACATTAACTCTTGCTGATTCTAACATTTTACAACTTTCAAAACTGGGTAATTAGAATCTTAGAGTGCCCATGACTGAATCATAGAACCTCTAAAGATCAGTGTGTGTGTGTGTGTGTGTGTGTGTTGTGTGTGTGTGTGTGTCTGTGTGTTGGAAGAAGGGGTTGGGTCAAAGAATACCAAAGCAACAAAAGTACTATGGGATGAATGAGTTCAAAGTCTTGCAAAAGGGACAAGATGTTTCTGAAGCCTGAAGTACAGAGACCCAGAGATGGCTCACCAGTGATGCTACATGCCTGTTTGATTAAACTTTTTTTTACATGTATTGGCCCTTTGCATTTCTTCCTTTATGAACTATTGTTAATTAGTATGTTCATATTTTTCTTACTTAGTTATAATATCTCTTGCTATTCAGGATACCAACTCTGTATTTTGCATACGTTTTTGCAAACTTTTGCCCTCAGATTGTCATTTTTTGTCTGTTTTATGAGGTGGTTGGCCTATCTTTGCATTGCATGACTATACAGTTTAGCTCTTGGAGTGAGGGCCTGTCTTCTAAATTCTGGGAGGATGTCACTCAATGGCTGTCAAAGTGCTCATAAACAGAGAAAACTAGGGAATTCCCTGATAAATGTGGCCACAAGAATTCATCTTTTTATTAGATAACCCAGTCCCTTCCCAACTCACTCTCAGCCCATTTCCTTATTTTACGCCCATATAAAAAAAACCTGCCAATGCCAGTTATTAAGCTATTATCTCTCAGCTCCAAACTCATCCCTCTGTACTTTGTTGTGATACTGGATTTGGGACTTCCCAACCACAGTGATGTCAGCTGGTTCCTGGTACCCTCTGCCAACTTGGGTGCTAGAGGGAAGCTGTGAGCTGTGAGGTTGGAGGAAGAGAGGACTTGCACCTTCCTGCCTACTTGCTGCTCCAGTGAGCCTCACTGTAGGAATACTTCTTCACCCTTCACCCTAGCAGCAGCAATTATTTCCTGTGGCAGCATTTAAATCCATTTTGCAGCTTCTCCAGCCCTGGCAGAACCAGTTTTGATGAGAAACTCCCCTTTTCCCCTGGCCCCCACACAAGACACCAGCACCAGCTGATACTGTGTGGGTGTTTGTCCCCTCCAAATCTCATGTGGAAATGTGATTCCCAGTGTTGGAGGTGGGGCCTGGTGGGAAGTGAGTGGATCGTGGGGCCAGATCCCTCATGAGTGGCCTAGCACCAACTCCTTGGTGATAAGTGAGTTCTTATTCAGTTCACACGAGAGCAGGTTGTTTAAGAGTCTGGGACCTCTCCCTTCTCTCTCTTTCTCTCACTCCTTCTCTCCCCATGTAATGGGTCTGCTTCTACTTTGCCTTCTGCCATGAGCAAAAGCTCCCTGAGGCCTTCCCAGAAGCTGAGCAGATTCTGGCACTACATTTCCTGTGCAGCCTGCAGAACCATGAGCCAATTAAACCTCTTTTCTTCATAAATTACCCAGTTTAAGGTATTTCTTTATAGAAACACAAGAATGGACTAACACAAAAAATTGGTACCAAAGAGTAGGGCATTGCTATAAAGATATCTGAAGATGTGGAAGTGGTTTTAGAAATGGGTAACGGGCAGAGGGTGAAAGAATCTGGAGGGCTCAGAGGAAGACAGGAATATGAGGGAAAGTTTGGAATTTCTTAGAGACTGGTTAAATGTTTGTGACCAAAATGCTGATAGAGATATGAATAGTGAAGTCCATGCTGACAGAATTTTCAGACGAAAATGAGGACGTTCTTGAGAACTGGAGTAAAGATCACCCCTGTTTATCCCTAGCACAAAACTGAACTGCATTGATGCATGACCTAGGGATCTGCGGAAGTTTGAATTTAAGAGTGATGACCCAGGGTATCTAGCAGAAGAAATTTCTAAGTGGCAAAGCATTCAAGACAGGACCTGGCTGCTTCTAATAGTCTATGCTCAGATACAGGAGCAAAGAAATGACCTAAAGTTGGAATTATATTTAAAAGGGAAGCAGAGTGTAAAAGTTTGAAAAGTTTGTAACCTGGCTATGTGACAGAGAAAGAAATAGCATTTTCAGGAGAGTAATATGTTTAAAAGAGTCTTGTGGAGTAACCACTTGCTAAAGAGATTAGCGTGACTAAAAGGGAATCAGTGCTACTATCCAAGACAATGAGGAAAAGGTCTTGAAGGCACTGAAGGCCTTGAAGTCGTTTTCAAGATTTTCTTTGAAGGCAAATCTTCACAGCTGCTCCCATCACAGGCCCAAAGGCCTAGGAAGAACCAATGCTTTCAGGGGCCAGGCTGGGGTACCACTGCCTTGTGTAGTCTCAGGATGCTGTTCCCTGCATCCCTGCTGCTCTGGTTCCAGTCTCAGGTTAAAGAGCTCCAGATACAGTCAGGCTGCCACTCCAGTGGGTGTAAGCAGTGAGCCTCGGCAGTTTTCATGTGGTATTAAGCCTGCAGGTGCACAGAATGCAAGAATGAAGGAGGCTTGTCATCTCCCACCTAGTTTCCAGAGGATATATGGGAAAGCCTAGGTGTTCAGGCAGAAGCCTGCTGCAGGAGGGGAGCCCTCACAGGGAAACTCTACTAGGACAGTGCCAAGGGGAAATGTGGGGTTGGAACCCCCACACAGAGTCCCCACCAGGGCACTGCCTAGTGGAGCTGTGGAAAGGGAGCCACTGCCCTCTAGAATCAAGAATGGTAGAGTCAGCCAGGCGCGGTGGCTCACACCTGTAATCCCAGCACTTTGGGAGGCTGAGGCTGGCCAATCACGAGGTCAGGAGATGGAGACCATCCTAGCCAACATGGTGAAACCACATCTCTACTAAAAATACAAAAATTGGCTAGGTGTGGTGGCATGTGCCTGTAATCCCAGCCACTTGGGAGGCTGAGGAATGAGAATCGCTTGAACCCAGGAGGTGGAGGTTGCAGTGAGCCGAGATTGCACCACTGCACTCCAGCCTGGCAACAGAGTGAGACTCCATCTCAAAAAGAAAGAAAGAAGGAAAGAAAGAAAGAAGAAAGAAAGAAAGAGAGAGAGAGGAAGGAAGGAAGGAAGGAAGGAAGGAAGGAAGGAAGGAAGGAAGGAAGGAAGGAAGGAAGGAAGAAAGAGAGAAAGAAAGAAAGAAAGAGAAAGAAAGAAAGAAGGAAAGAAAGAAAGAAAGAAGGAAAGAGAAAGAAAGAAAGAAAAAGAAAGAAAGGAAGGAAGGGAAAGAATGGTAGAATCACTGGCAGCTTGCAACCTCAATGTAGAATAGCTGCAGGAACTCAACTCCAACCCATGAGAGCAGTCACAAGGCTGTACCCTTCAAAGCCACAGGAGTGGAGATGCCCAAGGCCTTGGGATGCAGGATATGCATCCCCTCACACCAGGATGCAGGGCATGGAGTCAAAGAGATTGTTTTGGACCTTTAAGATTTAGTGACTGCCCTGCCAGATTTCAAACTTGTTTGGGGCTGATTGCTCCTTTCTTTTGGCTGATTTCTCTTTTTTGGAATGGGAATATTTACCCAATGGCTGTACCACCATTGTATCTTAGGAGTAAATAACTTGTTTTTAATCTCACAGGCTTATAGGCAGAAGGACCTCATCTCCAGATGAGACTTTGGACTTGGGATTTGGAGCTTGGGACTTTTGAGTTAAGGATGGAATGAGTTAAGACTTTGGGGGACTATTGCAAAAGTATGATTGTATTTTAAAATGCAAGACGGACACGAGAATTGGGGTGCCAGGAGAGGAATGATAGAGCTTGAATGTTTATCTCCTTCAACTCTCATGTTGAAATGTGATTCCCAGTGTTGAAGGTGGGGCCTAATGGAAAGCATTTGATCACGGGGGGGTGGGGGAACCCTCATGGTTTAGCACCATCCCCATGGTGATGAGTGAGTTCTCACTCAGTTAGTTCAACAACCACATGAGATCTGGTTGTTTAAAAGAGTCTAGGACCTCGTGTAGAAAAGCTGCAGGAACTCAACTCCAACCCAAGAGAGCAGCCACAGGGCTGCACCCTTCAAACCTACAAGAGTGGAGCTGCCCAAGGCCTTGGGATGCAGGGCATGCATCCCCTAACACCAGGATGCAGGGCAAGGAGTCAAAGAGATTGTTTTGGAGCTTTAAGATTTAGTGACTGCCCTATCGGGTTTCAAACTTGTTTGGGGCTGATTGCTCCCTCTCTTGCCATGTGACATGCCTGCTCCCGCTTTGCCTTCCTCCATGAGTAAAAGCTCCCTGAGGCTCCTCAGAAGCTAAGTGGACGTGGCACCATGCCTCCTATGCAGCCTGCAGAACCATGAGCAAATTAAACCTCTTTTCTTTATAAATTACCTAGTTTCAGGTATTTCTTTATAGCAGCACAAGAACAGACTGACACACACACCAGTAGAACAGTGACCCCTTCTCAGAGATCGCAGGTTCATCTTCCTCCTCTTGGTTTCTCAGTTTTTATAATTTTAACCTCTTCCCTTTTGCAAGGGGTGAAAGCTGCTTCCTGCAGTTGTTACCACCATGATACCTTACAGTTCTCTCTTTCTTTCTGGCTCACTCTCTTAATCTTTTAGTTACCTAGTTAACAACTCTATACTTAATTAACAAATCATGTTAAGTTCTCTCTGGTCAGATAATTGGTGTGATTTCTGTCTATGGACTGGACCCTGACTGATACAATAAATATAAATTGATCATATTTATTACAGTCATTTTCTGGGACTTAGAAGTTCTGTATTTCAGACCTCGTTTTACCACTATTATATAAAGTAATCAAGGAAACAGTCCCCTGGACTGCCCTCTCTCTAACTCTATTCCCATCCTCTTGGGTTACAAAGTTCTACCTGCTAGAATGCTCTTATTTCCAGGAAATAATAACAGCATTTTTTTCATTTATATATGCTATTTATAATAGCATTTTCAGAGTTTATGTGTCACATAGATCCTTATTTGGATTTTCTTATTTAATCCTCATAACAATACCATGAAGTAAATACTATTGTTAGTATTATCCCCATTTCATGGCCAAAGACATTAATACCCAAAGAGATGAAAAGACTTGCCCAGGAACACACAGCCATAGGTGGCAGGGCCAGAAATCAGCTCCAAGTAGGCTAACCCCAGGGCCGGTGTTCTTCACCTATTGGTTGCTGCTGGTGTGGAAAGAAACTAGCTCTGAATTCCAGCTCTGCCACTAATGAGGTGAATGACCAAGAGGTCGAGGTATTGGCTGGATGGCTCTTGGGAGATGGCAACCTGAGGAAGTGGAGGGAGGGAGACCAAGAGCTGGGTGCTGACGTCATCAGGATAGGTGGGCGCTGACCAGATCATTGGTAGATGCCAGCAACACAGAATGAGCTGCAAATGAGCTGGGGTTTCTAGAAGGCAGGAATGAAGGAGAAAATCAGCCTCCAATGGAGAGAACTGCAAGGAAGCAGTGTGCTCAGGGAGGACAGGTTTGAGTTGGCACAAGAGGGTGGCATGAGTGTCCTAGGGCTGCCAGAACAAAGTACCACATGGATGGCTTCGTCCTGGAGGCTGGAAGTCTGAGACCAAGGTGGCTCCAGAATGGTTCCTTCCAAGGGCTATGAGGGAAGGACCTGTTCCAGGTCCCTCTTCTTGCTTGCACAAAGCGTGTTCATGTTGACATGGTGCTCTCTCTGAATGTGCGTCTGTCTCAAAATTTCTCCTTTCTACAAGGACACCAGCCATATTGGATTTGGGATCATTCTAATGACCCCATTTCAGTTTGATTATCTCTGTAAAGACCCTGTCTTCAAATCAGGTCATATTCTGAGGTATTGGGGTTAGGACTTCAACATATGGATTTTTAGGTAACACAATTCAACCCCTAACAGGAATGAAGAGAACAGTCAGAGAAAAAGAGCAGGGGATTTTGCTAGACCATGAGTTCCCACAGGTACAGGGAAGAGCTTGGAAAGGCTGAGAGATCAGACAGTAGATGCTATTAAGAGGACTTACATATGGAGGACTTGGGGATGAAGTTGGGTCTTAAGGGATGTCCTGGGAGCCTGGGTTTCTGGCAGTGACTAGGGAGAGCTAGAAAGTTGATGTGCTGTGCCTGACCACGATGGTCACCTTGGGGAAGGTGGTGACCAGTTCCAGCTGGCCTGGGGCCACCAGACAGCTGGCCTTTCTTCCACTCTTGGTAATTTGGTGCCAAGTGGGCAGTAAAGGCCTCCTCAGGGCCCACTCCCTTAGGCAGCATTGAGAGTGGGGGTTCATCCTCATGGAAATAAAGGGACAGGAGCTCTCCTCCAGGGCCATGAAAGCACAGTTCTGCACACAGTAAGGGCATGGGACACAGTTCTGGAACCTTTCTGACTCCCCTCAATCAATCAGATTTTCTACCTCTGTCAAGTTTCCTCTTGTAGTTAGCAAGAAAACAAAGATCCTAAGAACGTGGAAGGCCCTCCTGGCTGGTGTGAGGCGCCCTGATGCAGGGGAGCAGGAACCCTTGAGGCTGCAGGGGCAGGGCCCTTGAGAAGAGGCAGGCAATGTGGGGAATTTTTGGCACCCATAGGAGGGCCAGCTGCACTGTAGGCTGCCCCATGGGCTGGGCTGGATGGAAGGAGCGGTTGAGGGTCAAGTCCCTGGGGCAGCTCCCAGATGAGAGGGACCTTGATGGCCCTGGATCCAGGGTTGACAATCCCACACCGTCTGAATCCAGTCAGCTCTCCTCATCTGCCACCCCACCAAACCTCAACTCCTCCCTGCCCTGCCAAATAAGTCTATCTGGTGTGAGTGGCCCTATGTGTCCAGTTAGCTCCCCACCCCCATGCCAGTCACCCCGGGACACATACTTACCACTTCCTCTGTCATACTATCAAACTATCACTAAGGAAACTATCAACTTGAAGGAATCAAGTGATGCAACAAACAGTCTGGATAAAACCATAGTCTAGAGAGAAGCAGGGTCTCAGGGTGACCACAGGGGACATGTGTTTGAAAGTAGGGACAGAGTCTGAACAATCCATGTATCCTGGACAGGTCCCTGCCAGTGGCAGTGAGGTGGGGATCCCCAGGACAGGAACAGGCATCATGTGCGTCCCTCCCATTTCTCTGCCAGCTCCCAGGGCTGTACAGGGCCCCAGCCCAGCCTGCCCTCTCTGGGCCCAGTACACTACACTCACGTCTCCTGGCTCTTCCACTGGCACCACTGCCCTTAGAGTGTCCTCGTTCAGATGCAACTTTGTGCCCAAGCCACACTCACAGGGTCTGTCTGTCCAGGTCCCTCCCGGGATGCCTCCCACAGAGCCCTGCATTCTCACCTAGGGCAGAGCCTCCAACCCCACAGAAAGAACAGCGTTCTCAGGGAAAACCTGCCTGGTTCCTGCCCCCTGGTGCTCCTGACCCCCAGACTGGCTCAGATCTATCCCCTGGGACCTGCCCTGACCTGACTCAAGAGGGACTTGCAGGAGGAAACTTGCTGTTTCCCAGTGCTCTGTAATTCTCGTAATTCTCCGTTCTCATTCTGGTGCCAGCTTTGTTTCCGACAGCAGGGGCCCACTTAACATCTGACAGCTGAATTCCTACATTCCTTCCCATGGCCTAGAAAGCTCAAGGTGGAGACTGCCTTGCCCTTCCCAATCCCTGTTCCCCTCCTACCTTTGCACCTGGGGCCCAGCTCCCTGTTGACAGCCAGCCCCTCAGAACAACCCTGCTTTTCCCATCACTGTAATCAGCCTGCGGGGGGGACACCCCTCTCTTTGGGCAGCTTCTACCTGCCAACAGTAATGGCCTGAAGTCCCTCAGCCCTGAAGCCTCCTACCTGGAGATCTTGAGAAAGAGCCCCATCTCTAAGAAGGGAGCATTGTTTCTTATGAAGGGGTTTTCCTGCAACTTCTCACTCGAGAGCAGTTGCTGTATCTGCCTCTGCGGTAGATCAGACGCTGATGGCTCTTATCTTCCTCATGACTCCAAACCACACAGTTCGGTTCCTGGTATCTGCTTTACCACCTTGGCCTGCCCCTGAAAACCAGAACATGGTGTCGGGAAGCAGAGGTTTGGGCTCCCTGCTTTCGGCTCAGGTTGCTCCTGCTGGTGAGATGTGTGTTGGGCACTTTTCTGGCTTTGGAAGAGCTAAAGGTTCAGGACAAAGTCACTGAGATGGTGCAGGGATGACAGAGAGGTGAAGCAGACAAAGAAGGCCTTCACGAAGGGGAACAGAATACACAGCATATTAGCGAGTACAGCAGAGTGCTGTCAGCTGCAAGCAACTGAAAAACCACTGAAAGTAGCCAAGGAACAGGGGGTTTGTCATTGCTCAGACACAGAGTCTGGAGACACAATAGTACCATGCAGGGACGTGTAGGGTCTCAACCTCATCAAGAACCCAGGTGCTTCCCCTCTTTGCGCTCTGACAGTTCAGAATTGGAGTGATGATGGCCGAGGGGACTCCAGGTATCACATGCAAAGGGCGATGCCCAGAGGTAGAAACAACATCTTCCTTTGTCTCATTGGCCAGGTTGAGATCACATGATCCTTCGTAAGCCAATCACAGGAAAGAAGAAAATTACTGTGAGTAGCTTCAACTAATCAAGTTCCACCTTCTTGGGACAGGGGACAGGAAGGTATTTTATATCCAAGATCTGATTTTTCCAAGTTCTTTGGTTCTTGAAGGTTTATATCCTTGTATTTTATATCCAAGATTTGATTTTTTCCAAGATCTTTGTTCCTTGGAGGTCTATATCTATTGTTGGTTGTTTCTGCTGACTCTCGCCCATGGTGGCTTGTTTCCTTGGGAGTCTGGTGATTGTTAATATGGGTTCCTACATGGGAACATGTGGCTATGTGGAAAGTCAGTGTGGTTCAATGAAAAGAAATGGTGTTTTCTACGATCAACCAGAACCTTGTGCCTGAGTGACATCTGGGATCCAGCTGCTTCATTGCTCCTCCATTGACTGGCCAAATTGGTATTTGTACTAAGTCACGTGGTTGCACGTCCATATTGTCATGTCTGTTCCCCGTTAGCTCAGCCACCTGGAGGGGAATATGGGAAGCAGGAGCCAGGGGCAGGCAGACGAACTTGTTCTCTCTCCTACGCCCTGCCTTCTACCCTCCACTGCCTTCTACCAGCTCTGCCAGGAACCCCACCCCTTCCCAGTTCCTGAGATTTCATTATATAGAGGAAGTCAGTGGCAGGAGGGCAAGATCTTTGCCTTTCATAAACAGAAAGGAGACTGTTGATGTATCCAGGGGCTACAGTGAGAAACAGAGATGTGAGTTTCAGAGTGAGTGTGTGGATGAAATTCTCTATGGGAGACACAGCTTGAGATGAGCCGAGAGCATGTATGGGGTCTTGGAAACACCACCACTTGAGGGATGGGCAAAGAAAGGAAATGACAACAGAGAGTGCCAAAGATCCAACAGAATGAGTTTGTCCAACCCTTGGCCTGTGGGCCACCTGCAGCACAGGATGACTTTAAATGCAGCCCTACACAAATTCATAAAAACATTATGAGTTTTTTTGCGATTTTTTTTTTTGTTCATTGGCTATCGTTAGTGTTAGTGTATTTTATGTGTGGCCCAAGACAATTCTTCTTTTTCCAATGTGGCCCAGGGAAGCCAAAAGATTGGACACCCCTGCACTAGAGAAAGGGAAGAAAACAGGCAAGTGTTGTGTCCTGGAGGCCAAGGCACAAACAGGTGTCCAGAAGTGAAGGCTCCACAATGCCAAATTCTGCTGCAACAGAATAGGAGGTAGCTCTAGAACTGGGCAAAAGGAAGGTCCCTGTGGACAAAGCAGCGTTTGCGGAGCAGGTTTCACTGGGTTGGGGAATAAGTGAGAGGAAAGAAATGCTGACAGTGAGTGCAGCTGGGCCCTTTAGGAACGCTGAGTACATCCTCTGCCTGAGCAGGTGTACCCTGACAATCCCAGTTAATGTTGGAATCTGCCCTCCCATCACCCATCTAGTCCCCTAATGGCTCCACTTCTTTGTTCCATTGCACTGACACTCACCTTCCAAAGTGTCATTTGCCTTGTATTCTTTACTAATGTAGTATGTTCATTGTGGATTGTGTATCTCCCCTGCAAGACTATAACAGTCTCAAAGGCCTCATTTTTTCTGGTCACCACTATGTCCTAAGTGCCCAGAGCAAGGGCTTGGCTCCCAGTAGGTGTTTAGAAGGGTTAGTAGAATGAAGTGAATGACAGAATGGGGAGAAGGACGGGGTTTGGGAAGGAGCCTGGGGCCAAAAAAAAAAAAAAGGTTTCTGCTTTTAGAGCTGGGTGCAGCCTGATTATTTACGGCTGAGGGAAAAACAACTTGGTTTGAAAACATAGAAGAGAGAAACGGGAATTCGTGACGCAAGGTCTTAGGAGAGATGAGTTTCAGAGCAGGCTTGGGGAAAATGACCTGGTTCAAGGAAGCTGGGAAGGGTGAAGCTACGTACGGCTGGAAGGTAGGTTTCTGGAGTGTCTTAAATAACTCTAAGGGCTTAGAGTCAAGGCCCTGGGTATTGGGAATTCCCTGGGTGATGGGTTTGTTTGTTTGTTTGTTTGTTTTTTGAGACAGAGTCTCACTCTGTTGCCCAAGTTGGAGTGCAGTGGTGCGATCTCGGTTCACTGCCACCTCCACCTCCCGGGTTCAAACGATTCTCCTGCCTCAGCCTCCGGAATATCTGGGATTACAAAGGTGTGCAGCACCAAGCCCAGCTAATTTTGTATTTTTAGTAAAGAGGGGGTTTCACCATGATGGCCAGGCTGGTCTCGACCTCCTGACCTCAAGTGGGGTTTTTTGAGCAAGGGAGCAACACATCACTCTGGTGACCATTCAGGGTCATTGTGCCGTACAACTCAGGAGAAACCATTTACAATCCCATAGAACACAATGGGAATGGCGCCCCCTGGAGTTGTGCAAACATGGCAGCCCTGTGAGGAAGGGCAGGAGCTAAGAGGGGTATGAGGCAGGACCTTCTGGTGGGAAGCTCTTGGAGATTTAATTAAGGTCTGACTAGGGGGTTGCAGGAGGGACAGCAAAATGATCACAAATGCAGTCTGACAGCAGGTGGGATGGTAAGAGGGCACGAGGGCCTGAGTGTAACTTGTTTATGGAAGGACCTTCAGGACCGGGGCTGGCTGCACTAGGGAGATAATAAATTGAGGTTTTGGTAGTTGCCGTTGCTCAAGAACAAAGAAGGAACTCCACTTAGATATGGTAACATTGAAAAAAATATATATGATGGTAGATAAATTCCCAGGTAAGACCCATAGAGGGAATTTAGAACTTACCCCAAAAAGCACTATTGGAAAAATCTGGAACTTTTGAGATTGATGTAGGGAGGCCACACATGTCCTACTGAAATCACCTTTTAGTGTCTTTCCTACTTGATCTAATCGCCTCCTGTCTGCTCCCTTCAATTCAACTATATCCTAGTCCATTCAATAAACATTAATTGAGCATCTACAATTCCTCAACATTAGAGATCAAAAATAAACGATATAATCCCTGCTCCTGATTGGCTGTCAGGCTAGTGAGAGAGACAGAAGCATAAGCAGCTACAACAGAACATGGAAGATGCTCAACTAGGGTTTCTGCAGAGGAACAGGGGAGGGCAGAGGCAGGATCTCACCAAGTTTCCTGTGCATGTGGGGCAATGTTGAGCCTCCCTTGGTCATCTTTATTCCCAAAGTCCCAGAAGCTGGAGCACAGGGCGAAGAAAGAGTAGAAAGCTTGGACCCCACATTTGCTCCTGGATTCCTCACTGAGGCCATAAGAGGTAGCGCTGGCCTCAGCTCAGCCCCTGAGTGGCTGTGACCTTGGGATGCCACTTGCTACCTGTGAGCCTGGAAGTGGGTCTTGGGCCAGTCCTACTGGAGGTTCCCTTGACTGCATGGTGTTCTCACAGTTACACAGTTAGCCAGGTCAGACAGTAGATCTCAAGGAGGGCAAAAGCCGCCACCTCCAAGAAGGCTGCCAGATACACCTTTTGCTCTGCCTGACAAGAACCTCCACAGATTCCAAGGTCCAGCTCTAGGGGTGCCTCCTCTGTGGATCCTCCTCTGACCCCCTCAGAGATAAGTCTCTGGCTTCCACGTGCTTCTGCTCTGAGTGGGGGGTTCTCCTTCTGCTGCATAGGACAGAGAGGACATCCAACTCAGAGTAGAAGCATGCCCTCTCTAAGTTGTAAATTCGATGATGTCATCTCCATATTTCATTGCCTGGCATATAGTAGGTGTTCAGTGCTCTTTGAAAGGATGAATACATTAACAAATGTCAAAATCTTTTTTTTTTTTTTTTTTTGAGACGGAGTCTTGCTCTGTTGCCCAGGCTGGAGTGCAGTGGTGCGATCTTGGCTCACTGCAAGCTCTGACTCCCGGGTTCATGCCATTCTCCTGCCTCAGCCTCCGGAGTAGTTGGGACTACAGTCGCCTGCCACCATGCCCGGCTAATTTTTTTTTGTATTTTTTTTAGTAGAGATGGGGTTTCACCGTGTTAGCCAGGATGGTCTCGATCTCCTGACCTCGTGATCCGCCCACCTTGGCCTCCCAAAGTGTTGGGATTACAGGCGTGAGCCACCACACCCGGCCACAAATGTCAAAATCTCATATCCTTCACAGTGCCCATGTCACTGCCCCTAGAAGTCTTCCCATGCCTCCCTTACTGAGTCATCTCTCTTTTCCCCATACTCCAATAGGATGCTGTTTGAATGCCTACGCTAGAACAGGGCTGGCAAACTTTTTCTGTAAGGGACCAGATAGTAAATATGGCCTTGCCAGACGTAAAGTATCTGCTTTAATGACTTCACTTTGTCACTGCAGCACAAAAACATTGTGCAGCCACAGAGAACAAAAATGAATGAGTGTAGCTGTGTTCCAATAAAACTTTATGGGCCGGGTGCGATAGCTCATGCCTGTAACCCAAGCACTTTGGGAGGCCAAGGCGGGCAGATCACTTGCAGTCAGGAGTTCAAGACCAGCCTGGTCAACATGGTGAAACCCCATCTCTACTAAAAATACAAAAATTAGCTGGGCATGGTGGCAGGTGCCTGCAATCCCAGCTACTCGGGAGGCTGAGGCACGAGAATCGCTTGAACCCAAAAGGCAGAGGTTGCAGTGAGCCAAGATCGCACCATTGCAATCCGGCTTGGGGGACAAGAGCAAAACTCTGTCTCAAAAACAAAAAACAAACAAAAAAAAAGTGCACTAACCTGACCCGGTGGTGCCAGGCTTCTCACTAGGCAGTCGGTCTGGCACCAGAATCCGGACTTCTCAGCTACACACTCTGTGCAGGCTCTGGAAGTCTGGCGAGGCCAGGTTTTGCCTGTCCAGCCTGGGCTCTCTCTGGCCCTTCTAGCAGCATCAACAGTGACTTCGGGAGGCTGAGGCATGAGAATCACTTAAACCCCGGAGGCGGAGGTTGCAGTGAGCTGAGATCATGCCATTGCACTCCAGCCAGGGTGACAGAGCGAGACTGTCTCAAAAAAAAAAAAAAAACTATTTATGGACACTGATATTTGAATTTCATGTAATTTCCACATCACAAAATATTATTCTTATTTTGCTATTTTTAAAAACATTAAAAATTAAAAAAGAAAACATTTTTAGCTCATGGGCTGAGCTAAAAGAGGCTGCAGTCTATGTTTGGTGTGTAGACCAGAGTGCACCAACACCTGCTTGAGAGCTTACTAAGATCGGCTTGCTAATAGGCTTATTTTGGTCTCGCCTATTAGCCTATAAAAAGAAGAGTTAGGAACACAGCCTTTGGATGCAGATGGGTCTGTATTAATATTCTGATCCCAGACTCCCTCTCTCTTTTTCTTCCTTTTCGGTCAAAGTCACTGGGCAGGTCTGCTAAGGGCCAGAAGGCAGTCCAAGGGCAGCCAGGACTCAAACAAGGAGGGTGTGTCAATTTCCTAGGGCTGTCATAACAGAAACTGGGTGGCTAGAATAACAACCATGTCTTTTCTCACTGTTCTGGAGGCTAGAAGTCCAAAGTCAAGGTGCTGGCACCGCCATACTCTCTGATGTCTCCAGGGAGAATGCTTCCTGCCTTCTTCCAGCTTCTGGTGGCTGCTGGCAATCCCTGGTGATCCTTAACTTGTGGGATCCCTCCAGTCACATGACTTTCTTCTTCCTGTGTGTCTTCAGTTGTTTTATCTCTAGGGCTGTCTGTCTCCGTGTCCACACTTTCCCCATTTTATAAGGACATCGGTCATATTGGATTATGGCCCACCCATAAGACCTCATTTTAGCTTGATTACTTCTGTAAAGACCCTATTTCCAAATAAGGTCATATTCTGACATACTGGGGATTAGAACTTCTGCATATCTTTTTGGGAGACACAAGCCAACCTCATAACAGAGGGTGTCAGTACAGGGCAGGACCCAACCCAGCATGGAAGTGGGCTATATTCAGTGGGGCAGGAGGAGGGGAGAAGCTATGTAAATACACTGACAACAATAGTGTAGTTTCACACAGATAAGAAGGGAGGTACAGATATAGACAGAGAGAAAGCTAGAAAGAACCCTGTGGTGTTGGATTGGAACTGGCAGTATAAGTGTGAACTCATGGTTTTCAAAATGATAGGTATAGAAATAAATACAGCTGGTCGGACGTGGTGGCTCAAGCCTGTAATCCCAGCACTTTGGGAGGCCGAGGCAGGTGGATCACTTGAAGTCAGGAGTTCAAGACCAGCCTGACCAACATGGTGAAACCCCGTCTCTACAAAAAAAAAAAAAAAAAAAATTAGCCGGGCGTGGTGGTGCATGCCTGTAATCCCAGCTACTTGGGAGGCTGAGGCAGGAGAATGGCTTGAACCTGGGAGGCAGAAGTTGCAATGAGCCGAGATCGTGCCATTGAACTCCAGCCTGGGCAACAAGAGCAATACTCCGTCTCAAAAAAAGAAAAAAAATATAGCTGTAAGTACAATATACGCATTTGTTCATTCATTCTCTGGCTCTGTCCAGTGAGAGACCTGAGGACAGTGACACTTGGGCAGCAGGGAGCAAGATCACCTTGTGTGTGTATCTTGGCTCTAAATACCATTCTCTACTATGAGGAACCCAAGCCCCTTGGAGAAAATTCCCAAGTCCGAGCCCAGGGCAAGGTAAATAGGAGAGGAGATGAGCATTTCATGCTGCCTGAAAGTCAGGGAGGTCTTAAAGAACGATGGGGATCATTGAAAAGGACACAGGAGCCCATTTGAAGGAGCTGTCACTGGCCAAAGTTGGCATGATTTGAGCATTAAAATAAATCATGGTAGGTACTGACTGTAAGCCATTTAATAAAATAGAAATCCGTGAGTCCACACTGATTATATAAGTTAACAAAGAACACAAGAAGGAAAACAAACTCTTCCTTAGGTAGAATGCCAACTATTAAATACAAAAGGAATGGTGACATTTTATTTATTTATTTATTTAACAATAGCAACTTTTATTTTAGACTCAGGGGGTGTACGTGCCCCTTTGTTATCTCATAATACTTTAGCATTTTAGAATAGTTTTTTCTAATTCTGTGAAAAATGATAATTCATATCCCAAACCACATGGTAAGTGTAGTACCCGGGTAGTTAGTTCTTCAATCCTTGCCTCTCTGCCTCACCCCTCTAAGTAGTTCCCTGTGTCTATTGTTGCCATCTTTATGCCCATTAGCACCCAATGTTTAGCTCCCACTTATAAGTGAAAATATACAGTATTTGGTTTTCTGTTCCTGCATTAATTTGCTTAGGATAATGGCTTCCAGCTGCATCTATGCTGCTGCAAAGGACATATTTCATTCTTTTTATGGCTGTGTAGTATTCCGTGGGTGTATATATACCGCATTTCCTTTATCCAGTCCACTGTTAACGGGCAACCAGGTTGATTCCATGTCTTTGCTATTGTGAATAGTGCCGCAATGAACATACGAGCACAGGTGTCTTTTTGGATATATACTCAGTAATGGGATTGCTGGGTCAAATGGTTGTTCTGCTTTAAGTTTTTTAAGAAATCTCCAAACTGCTTTCCACAATGGCTGAACTAATTTACATTCCTATCAATAGCATATAAGCATTTGCTTTTCTCTGCTGCCTCACCAGCGTCTATTGTTTTATGACTTTTTAATAATAGTCATTCCAACTGATGTGAGATAGCATCTCATTGTGGTTTTGATTTGCATCTCTCTGATGATTAGTGATATTGAGCATTTTTCATATCTGTTGGCTGCTTGTATGTCTTCTTTGGAGAAGTGTCTGTTCATTTCTTTTGCCCACTTTTTATTGGGGTTATTTTATTTTATTTTATTTTTTGCTTGCTGAATTGCCTAAGTTCTGTACAGATTCTGAATATTAGACCCTTGCTGCATGCAGTGTGCGAATATTTTCTCCCATTCTGTAGGTTGTCTGTTTACTCTGTTGATAGTGTCCTTTGCTGTGCAGAAGCTTTTTAGTTTACTTAGGACCCACTTGTCAATTTTTGTTTATATTGCAATTGCTTTTAAGAACTTAGTCATAAATTTTTCCCCAAGAATGATGTCTAGAGTGGTGCTTCCTAGGTTTTCTTCTAGGATTCTTATAATTTGAGGTCCTACATTTAAACTTTTAATCCATCTTGAGTTAATTTTTGTATATGGTGAAAGGTAAGGGTCCAGTTTCATTCTTTTGTGTATGGCTGGCCAGCTATCGTATCACCATTTATTGAATAGGGAGTGCTTCCCCCATTGCTTATTTCTGTCAGCTTTGTTGAAGATCAGATGGCTGCGGGTATTCAGCTTTATTTCTGTGTTCCATTGGTCTATGTGTCTGTTTTTATACCAGTGCTATGCTGCTTCGATTATTGTAGCCTTAGTATAGTTTTAATTTGTGTAATGTGATGCCTCAGGCTTTGTTCTTTTGGCTCAGGATTGTTTTGGCTATTCGAGCTTTTTTTTGGTTCCATATGAATTTTAGAATAGTTTTTTCTAATTCTGTGAAAAATGACAGTGGTAGTTTGACAGGAATAGCATTGAGTTTGTGGAATGCTTTGGGTGTATGGCCATTGTAATGATACTGATTCTTCCAATCCATGAGCATGGAATGTTTTTCCAATTGTTTGTGTCATCTATGATGTCTTTTACCAGTGCTTTGTGGTTCTCCTTGTAGAGATCTTTTATGACCTTGCTTAGCTGCATTCCTAAGTATTTTATTTGTGTGTGTGTGTGTGTGACTATTGCAAATGGGATTGCATTCTTGATTTGGCTCTCAGCTTGAACTTTATTGGTGCACAGAAATACTACTGATTTGTGCACATTGATTTTGTTTCCAACTTTATAGAAGTTGTTCATCAGTTCCCGGGGACTTTTGGTGGAGTCTTTAGGGTTTTCTAGGTATAAAATCATATCATCAAGGAAGAGAGAAAGTTTGACTTCTTCTTTTCCTATTTGGATGTCTTTTATTTCTTTCTCTTGTTAGATTGCTCTGGCTAGGACTTCTGAATGACAGAATTTTTAAAAGTCACCATTTGGCAATGATCATCATGATAATGTTTAATTAAATTAAGGAACATCATTGCATACTGAAATTATACAAGTGTGGGAGTGGGATGAGAAAGCTTAAAAGTATCTCCCTACCAAATGCTTATAAATTACGATGTGGAAGGGGAAGTAACTTTACAATAGAGAAACTTGATTGGTGTCAAGTTAATCAAATGATCAGAGCGAACGACATTAGTGATGGGACAGATTGACAATGAAAGCTAATAGGACTCACCAAGAATAATCCAGCATCACTTCTGTGCTATTTTGGCCAAAAAAGCATAACCCAGTTCTAATCATCAGACAGAGCCAAATCGAGGGACATTATTCAAAACAACCAACCTGCAGTCTTCGAGATGTCGAGGAAAAAACAAGGCATCTGTTTCAAACTGGAGGCCCGAAAGACATGGCAACTAAGAGCCATGCATTTAGAGAGAATGCAAAGTCCCGGATGGATTTTCTTGTTACAAAACCATTATTGAGAAGCTTAGCGAAACTCAAAGGGGGTTTCCACATGAAGGGTATGTGAGAGTTCTTTGTATCATTCCTTTAACGCTCTGTATTTTGAAATAGTTTCAGAATAAAAATGGAAATGGAAAAAAATGCAATGTTAACATATACGAGTTACTACTTTCAACAAGTTATCTTCCTTTTCATGCCTCAATTTCTTCATCTGTAAGGTGAAGACAGTAACAGCTACATAAAGGTTATTGGGAAGAGATGGAGAAGCCCCCAGCCGAAGGTCTGCTCACAGCGTAAATGCTCAAGCCCTGGTCATTATGAGTACTACGTTCTTGCCAACATTTTCTTGGGTTTCTTAGTCTCTAAAAGATCGTCAATTGCAAGACACGGTATTTTACATACCACTGAAGGAAAAAACAAACAAACAAACGAAAACATTCAATGAATTCCTGACGGTGTGATTCTTCTCGCTTAGAACTTTTAATACTTATTGAGAGAACTCTGTTAGACTCATTCAAATGTAGATTTTTATCCCCTGCTGCTCTATGATGACTTTTAAAAGGAAAGGGTCAGTCAAGTGAATTGGCTGAGGTGTTCCTAAAGCTCCTTCACATTTTGGGTCTGGTGTCCGGAGTGATTTTGACTCAGAGTCTCGGGTTCTTCGTTTCTCCACCAGACAGCATCCTCTGTGCTCCTGAGGGCATCCAGGCCCGCAGCCTCCCAGTCCCACAGAGGACCTCAGCAAAGACAGGCAGAGTGGGGACACCTGGGAGAAAAGAGAGCCCGGGACGTCACTTTAATTCCATCCTCTCCAGCCCTGGAGAAGCCCCTGCAGGGTTTTTCCATGCCAGGCAGGGACCTCACACTGACCGGAGTGCCTGAGAGAACCACACATGCCTTCCTCTACCCTGGGCTTTCTCTGCTAGGGTGAGGCCCTGCCAGCTCTTCCTGGCCAACCCTGCCCTTCCTGGTAGGAGGAAAGCAAAGAACAACAATCAGGCCAGAATTCCAGTGGCTTCGAGGCAGGTTCCTGCCCCTCCATTTCCTCCATTCCCCTCATTCTTGCCCTCCATTCCCCTCATTCCTGCCTGCTGCCCTTTCTCCTGGGAGGCAGCCCCATGTAGGAGAAATATGACTGCGTTTTGTTGTGTCTTGGCACTGTGATTCATCTTGTCTTTATTCAAACTTTTCATATTTGGTTCACCGTGAATAGTTTCTGCATCAGTTGGGATTTTTTTAAACCATATTGCATTAAAATATTACTTACAACAATTACTGAATTTTTAAATGCCTGTTTAAATTTTGAGCACGAGAGACTGCCTCACTCACCTGACCTTAATTCTGCTGGCCCTGCTGTGCTCAGGGAGCCACTCATTCATTCATTCATTCATTCATTCATTCATTCATTCATCTATTCATTTGCACACAGTCAAAGGTGCAATTTCTCCTCTGTACCAGGCCATGTGCTAGGTATTTGGGAGGGAAGTGCAAGCCGGACACAAGCCAGCACTGAAGATAGTGTCAGAAGAAAGACAGCCATGAACACACATGACCATATGACACATGGTGGGGTGGGGCGGCAGGGCAAAGAGGACATCGGGGAAATCAACATGCCACCAGCTACCACTTGTAGGGGGTTCTCCTGTGGCCAGCTCTGAGCTAAGGTCTTCCTGCACAGAATCTCACTGGATTCCCTCAACAGTCCTTCCAGGTTTGTAGATGCTTCTGCAAAAGTAACAGACAGATGGATGTCCCGAGGCTTGGGGAAGTAACACGCAGATGATTTGCACAAGGACACGCTTTAAGAAGCAGTGGACTTGGAAGTCCAACACAGATCTGTCTGGCTCTGGGCTCAAACCAGCTATGGTTATTGCAGCCACTTCCACCTGCATCCCCATCAAGCAGTCAGGGAAGGCTGCATGGAGGAGGCCCTGCGTCAGCTGAGGCTTGAAGGAGGCCTAGGAGTTTATAGGAAGGTAAATTGGAGTAGGAGGCTTTCTGGAAGTAAGAAAAGTCACGTGCACTATTAGCAAAGTAGGCCTGGGCCGGCACTGCTTCCTCTTTCTGCTTCTCTGTTTCCTGATGACATCAACATAAATAGGAAACGTGGGAGGCTCACTCTGCCTAGAGGCTCCAGAAGAAGACTGGTCTCTCCCACCACACAGAGGTATGGCCCGGCGTCCAGGAGCAGGGCTGAGGGGTGGGGTCAGAGCAGGGGGGAATGTGGGGAGTCCAGGATGAAAAAGGACAGGGGGAGCCTGGGGGGCGTCCTGTGGGTAGCTGTGCCCTGGGGACTTGGAGGAGTTAGGGCTTGGCCTCTTAGGATGACCTGAGCCCAGACTCCTAGGGCGGCCAGTGGATGGGGAGGCAGCCAGGGGTGCCAAGCTGCTTGGGTGTTGTAGGAGAGCTCTGGGGAGGACTCAGCCTCGCTAGCGGGATCTGGTTGGTCCTGGTGGGAAGGACGCCTAGTGGGGTGAAGAGAGCTCAGGCCTGGGAGTCAGGCACCTATAGTCTGTCTTCGCTTTGTCACTAAGATGCTGGTGGTAGTGAGAGCACCCCCTGTCCACCCTGGGCTTCTGTCTCCTCATCTGTGGAATGGGGAGCATGGATAGTCCCTGACATCTTGGTTTAGAAAGAGAGAGAACGCATGCTCGTGTGTTTGCCCGTGTGTGCATTTGTGTGTGTGCCTGTGTGTGTATGTGCATGTGCGGATGTCTGGGGATGCAGGAGTGCAGAGAGACTAAGAGGCAGAGGGTGAAACCTGGAAGCTTGCTGCGCTGAGGCCCAGAGCTGGGTGCGGTGTGGCTTGAGAAGCTCACTTTGAACTTGAGAAAGAGCCCAGCACTTTGCCCAGAGACATACCAGGCACTATCCAGCAATCTCTCTCTCTCTCTCTCTCTCTCTCAGTCTCTCTCTCTGTCTGTCTGTCTTTTTAGTTATGACACTCTGCCCTGCTGATTTGGGTTGCTGATTTGGGTTGGGGCCCAGGTGTGTGTGTTCTGTACCCAAGTATGCTGGCTGGGTGGGTGGGTATCTGGGGTGCCTGCTTCAGGGTGTGTGCAGGTGTGTGTACTGGCCCTGAGAATGAAAGGGCAGGTGTTTCACTGGGACCTTGTCAGACAGGTGCTAGCGACAAGCTGCATATGTGCAATTTTTAGTCTTCAAAAACCCTGCTGTTATATTTTTGTACAGCCCAATTCTAATTTTTTTCTATCATCTTTCCTGCTTTGTAATCATTTTATAATGAGTAAACATTTCCTATTAGCTTTTGGTCACTCTTTTTTTCATCCAGCAGTTTTATTTATATTGTTCCAGTATACAGATATACCAACACCACAGGATAATTCATGAGTTGTATAAGGAATGTATTTAATGCTAAACAAGCAACTACACAGAAACCTACCTTCATGAAAATTAGAATAATCTAGAATTATGTAGCACAAGAGACAAAGTCCCCAGCAATTTCTTTTCCCTAGTTCCATAGCTTATTCTTTTCACCACATGTATTCTTCCAGAACATTTTCTAAGCATGATACAAGCATATAGTTTTTCTTTTCCTGTTTGTTTTTTGTTTTGTTTTGTTTTGTTTTTGTGACAGAGTTTTACTCTTGTCGCCCAGGCTGGAATGCAGTGGTGCAATCTTGGCTCACTGCAACCTCTGCCTCCCGGGTTCAGGTGATTCTCCTGCCTCAGCCTCCTGAGTAGCCGGGATTACAGGCATGAGCCACCACACGTGGCTAATTTTTGTATTTTTAGTAGAGACAGGGTTTCACCATATTGGCCAGGCTGGTCTCGAACTCCTGACCTCAGATGATCCGCCTGTCTCAGCCTCCCAAAATGCTGGGATTACAGGCTTGAGCCACTGTGCCAGGATGGTAGTTTTTCTTTTTACAGAAATGGGATTATTTTATTTATATATATATATATATATTCCTAATTTTTTCACTTAATATTGTATTTTGGAATATTTCCAAATTTCTACAATAATACATACAGATTTAACTCGTTAAGTAACCCTAAGAAATATGTGGCATTTATTAGGATGGGTACACCACAATTCATCTAATCTCACGTTGATCGACACCTAGATTGTTTCTAATTTTTCCACATCTGTGAAAGTGTTTCTGTAGCCTAAATTACTAAATGCAGAATTGCTGTGCAGAGGTTGTGCGTTAGAAATTATAATAGGTATTGTCAAATCAGCCTCAAAGTAGCTGAGCTAAGCTGACGTCCCCAAGGTAGTGCATAAAGGGTCCAATTTACCTTTAGAGAAATTATCAATCTTCTAATTTTGTCCAATATTATGTATGGAAATTCTCAATGTCGCGTGATTTTTTTCTTTCCCTGATTATGGGTGAAGTTGTACATTTTCTATATGTGGATTGGCCTTTTGGATTTCATTTATGATGAATGTGGAGAAATTTTTGTTCATCTCCTGTTGAATTCTCTTTTACATCTTAACTTTTGGAGTGACTCATTTATTACGTGTATTAATAATCCATTTATATATGTTGAAAATATATTCTCCCAGGTTATGACTTATCTTTTTCTTTACCATGTTTAAGATGTCTTATGTCATATAAAAATGTTTTCATTGTTAAGTCAAACCTGTCATTACTTTTTACTTTATGGTTTCTGATTTTGGTGTCTTGTAAACCTCTAAGATCACAGGTGTCTTGTAAACCTCTTTTTACTTTATGGTTTCTGGTTTGGTGTCTTGAAACCTCTAAGATTACAGAAAGAGTTTTAATAATTTTACTATTTTGGTTTTGACTTTGAGATTTTTAGCCCACCTAGAATTTAGAGAAGTGAGTAATGTGTAAAGTAACTTTTAAAAATAATTACCATCTAATTGTCTTAACATTGCTAATTATGAGTGTGTGATTTCTCCTCTCTTCAATGATTTGAAGTGCCCCTATTACATCCTAGGCTTCTATACATACTTCGTTATTTTCTTTATTGTTTTCTCTTCCATTTGGCTGTCACTACATTCCTTATTATTTTTCTAACGAATGGAGCAAGTCTCTCATCTCTGGTTTGTTATAATTTAGAATCAGTTTGCCAAGGCCAGGCACAGTGGCTCATGCCTATAATCCCAGCACTTTGGGAGGCTGAGGCAGGCAGATCCCTTGAAGTTGGACGTTCAAGACCAGCCTGGCCAACACGGTGAAACCCCATGTCTACTAAAAATACGAAAAATTAGCCGGGTTTGGTGGTGTGCACCTGTAATCCCAGCTACTTGGGATGCTGAAGTGGGAGAACTGCTTGAACCCAGGAGGCAAAGTTTGCAGTGAGCCGAGATCACGCCACTGCACTCCAGCCTGGGCAACAGAGTGAGACTCCAACTCAAAAATAAAAATAAAAATCAGTTTGCCAAGCCCATTAAATTCCTTTTTGGAATTTTCATGTTGATTGCATTGAATTTAGAGATGATCTGAGGGACATTGACCACTGGAAGTAAAGACAATAGTGAGAGCCTCCTGTGTGAGGCTTTGACAGGAGGACACTAACGTGCCCCCTTGACTCTGTCATCGCCTTTGGTTTCTGGCAGACTTTCAGTGATGCCAACGTTTCCGCCACTGCTTCATTTGCCAGGGTTTGTTTGTTCATTTAACCAGAAATGTCTTGTTTATTATTAAATATTTAGGAGTGTCTGTCAAGATCAGCTTATCCTTTTTTCCCTTTTAATCCGTTCATCTGTTTGTTTGAATCATAAATAGGTTTCTTAAGGGTTCTCCTTCCATGTATGGAGTACCCTCTACTTGGCCATGATGTCTTCTTCTTTTAAAAGTCTTTGTCAGGTTGACCTATGAAATTGTTTTTGTCTGGAGTGAATTTGTATTTTGCTTTTCCCCCCTAGTTTTTATCCCTGCCATTCAATTTCTTCATAAGCTTGGGAATGTTTATCCCTGCCATTCAATTTCTTCATGAGCTTGGGAATGTAATATGTGCATGTTTATTTTGAGTAAGAAGGTGTTTGGTTTTTCTCTTCTCTTTTCTCTCTCTTCCTTTCTCTGTCCCTCCCATCCCTTCTCTGTCATCCTCCTGTCCCCATGCTTACTCTTCATTCTTAGTGATTTTTAATCTTTATGTTTTTAGGGATTTAAAATGTATTGAACTTATATTTTCTGGGTCGGGCACAGTGGCTCACGCCTGTAATCCCAGCACTTTGGGAGGCCAAGGTGGGCAGATCACTTGAGGCCAGGAGTTGAGACCAACCTGGCCAACATGGTGAAACCCAGCCTCTACTAAAGATACAAAAACTAGCCAGGCGTGGTGGTGCATGCCTGTAGTCCCAGCTACTTGGGAGGCTAAGTCACAAGAGTCGCTTGAACCCCGGAGGCAGAGATTGCAGTGAGCCGAGATCATGCCATTGCACTCCAGCCTGGGTGATGGGGTGAGATTCTGTCTCAAAAAAAAAAAATAGTATTTTTTTTAAAGAAACCATATTTGCTACCAGCATTTGGGTTTATTTAGCACATATATGATCTTCCAAAACAAGAGGAGATCTTTAGCAAGTTTTCAGTTCTCTTCCATTCTCCACCCCAGCCTCACAGCAAACTCCCACATTAAAATCATCTGAGTTTTAGTTCAATATTCTTCTTTAACTTATCTGTAAGTGTTACAGGTTTATTTACCTCAGTATTTCAGCTTTCTTGGATTTTTTTTTCCTGAAATATAACCTAGAGTAATTTCTTTCAGAAAAGATCTGAAAAACTTTCTTTGTCCTTACATACTCAAAATTTTTTGTGTCCTTTAAATGTCAAAGAAAACTTGGCATTTTGTGATTCTAGGTTTAAGCATAATTTTCCCTTGGTATTTTCAAGACATCTATTTAAAGTTCAGAGTCTCTTATGTGAAATCTTTAGCCAATCTGACCCTTGTTGCATTCAAAGTATCCTATTTGTTTTCTTCTGGAAGCATTTCTGGGATCATCCTCATATTCTTGCAAGACGAAAAGTTTACCAGTGAGAACTAGGCATGGCTTTATTAAAAGGAATCTTGGGAGTTAACCCTGATCTCTGTCCCCTACTACAAAACCTCATCGTAGTAGCCTCCCCCCTTGAATACAGATTCCTTACTGTCTTTGAAAAATATTTTAAAAAGGAGTCTTGTTCTTTATTGAGTGGCCTCTTGTCTCCTTGAAAGCCCTGTGAAGCTTTCCCCATTTGCTGTTGTATCTGTTTGGCTGCACATGGAAAATCCCTAAGCAACAGAGGCTTAACAACATAGAAGTTTCTTTTTCCCAGCATATAAAAGATGCCCAGAGGTAGCAGTTTCAGGCTAGTATGGTTGCTCCAGAGTGAGAGTGGGAATCCAGCTTCCTCTCTTTCTGTTGCATCATCTTCACATATGGCTTCCATCCTCAAGGTAACCTCATGGTCCAAAATAGCTGCTGAAGCTCCAGCTATCACCTCCAAGTTGCAGGCTGGAAGAAGGAAGAAAGACAGAGGGACAAAAATGAACCCCTCCCACCTAAGTCAACTGCCATTGAGCAGCCTTTTTTGGAAGACATACACAATGTTTCTATTCTCATCTCCTTGGATCACGTTTAGTCACTTGACTGCACCTAGTGGCAACGGAGTATAGGAAGGAAATAGACCTTTTTATTCTGTGTAGCAATAAACTCAGCTAAAACCTTGGCTTCTGTTGCCAGGAGGAAAGGGACACGGTCTTCCATTGTCTTTCAGACTAGGTAGCTGACATTGTCTGCCATACCTGCTCTTAATTCTCTCCACCCCCTGCTTCTGAATGCTGGAATTTTTGAATTTCTTTCCCAAACCTAAAGTTTTCTCTAAGACTTTTCATCTCCTTGACTATTTGCTCTATTTTATATATCTATCTTTTTCATTTGTGGTATCCATTCTGTGGTTTGGCCCACTATTGATTGTTGTTGTTTTTTTGTTTGTTTGTTTTTTTGAGACAGAGTCTCAGGCTGGAGTGCCATGGCAACGGTCTCAGCTCACTGCAACCTCCACCTCCCAGGTTCAAGCAATTCTCCTGCCTCAGCCTCCAGAATAGTTGGGATTACAGACGTGCGCCACCATGGCCAGCTATTTTTTTTTTTTTTTGCGTTTTTAGTAAAGACGGGGTTCTACCACGTTGGCCAGGCTGGTCTCAAACTCCTGACCTCAAGTGATCTGCCCACCTTGGCCTCCCAAAGTGCTGGGATTACAGGCGTGAGCCACCGCGCCCAGGCTTTGATTGATTTTTTTTTAAATTATGGATCTCATATCTTCAAATTCCAAGAACTCTGTTCTTTGCATAGAAGTGTCTTCTTTTAAATGGCTATGATTCTCAAATCTCCCTGAGGATGCTGATTTAGATGTCTTAATGTACTCTTTTATTTTTGCTGTATCTGTACATGTCTGTAGAAGTGTCTGCTGGGTTAGCATATGTCAGAATAGATGTGCGCTGTTTTGACATTTGGGAAACTGAATCACTATTGGCATAGAGGTCAGGGACAGAGTCTAGAGGCAGCCCACTGCGGGCTCGAATCTCAACCTGTTCCTTACCAACCGTGTGACTGTCGACCAATTACATAACATCCCACCCCTGTTTTCTCATCTACGAAGTGGAGCTTCTAGTGGTAACCTATACATAGATGTATTCATATCCGTAAAACCTTTTGAATAATGCCTGGCTCATGGAAAACACTGCAATATTGTCAGCCACTATCATGAATTCTCTCTGTGTATGTGAGTATTGTTTGTGCTCTTTGATGATATTGATTTGTTTTAACCTTTTAAAGTAAAAGACACTAACCTGTCCTCCATAATTCTGGTTGGTATGGTCTATATGTTGAAGTGCACCCAAGTTTATGTTGCAACCTAATCCCCAATGTGAGAATATCTGGAGGTAGTGCCTGTGGCACCCTATAAAATACCCCAGCGAGCTCCCTTGCTTATTCCATGTGAGATTATAGGGAGAAGACTGCAAGGAACAGGCCCTCACCAGATAGTGAATCTGCCCGCACCTTGATCTTGAACTTCCCAGCCTCCAGAACTATGAGAAATAAACTTTGTTACTAGTAAGCCACTCCATCTATGGTATGTTGTTACAGTAGCCTAACGGATGAGTACATTGGTGCAAAGATTTTCTGTTTGCACTCCGTCCTTTCCTTTTATGGTTCAGTCAGTTTGACAAATTACAGAAGATTTCACTTTTATGTACTTCTGCCAGCCTTTGTCTCTGTGATGTCTCCTATGCTTTTAAGCTTAAAGAGTTCAAAGGCATTCACTCCTCTGGTTTGCAGCTTTCATAGGATGTAACATTTTACATTTAAATTTATAATTAACTTGTTATTTGGGGAATGGTGTAAAATGGGGTTTTAGATAGGCATTTTTATGTTGTTAATCAATGATTTTAGCATTTTTTTAAATTTAATATTTCATCGCTTCACATTGATTCCTGATTCCTTCTCAGTCTGGGGTCAAGTAGAGTTTGTTTCCAGCCAGCATGTCCATTGATAGATTCTGTGTGTGTGTATGTGTGTCTGTGCATGTATCTGTATGTGTGTGTGTATGTCTGTGTGTAGGTGGTATATGCGAGTGTGTATGTGTGTGTGTGTTGTGCATGTATGTGTATGTGTGTCTGTGTATGTGTGCCTCTGTGTGTGAATTTCTGTGTATGTGTGAATGTGTGTGCATGTTTGTGTGTATATGTGTATATATGTGTATATACATGTATGTATCTGTGTTGTTCATGTGTGTATGTGTGTCTGTGTCTCTGTGTGTGTGTTTGTATGTGTGTGTGCATGTTTGTGTGTGTATATGTGTGTATATTGTATGTATCTGTGTGTGTCTGTGTCTGCCTCTGTGTGTGTGTCTGTGTGTGCATTTGTGTGTATACATGTGGGTATGTGTGTGCATGTTTTGTGTGTACGTGTATATATGTATGTATCTGTGTGTGTCTGTGTGTTGTGCGTGTGTGTGCCTGCGTGTGTCCGTGTGCTTGTGTGTGTGTGTGTGTTTGCATGGGCATCTTGAGTGAAGCTTCCAACAATCTAACAGAAGAAAAGGAGCCACACTTGTCTGTTCTGCTCTCTTGGGTACTTCCCAGACCAGTGAAATGAAAGGGAGGAAACCCCCGGCCTCCGAGGAGAAAAGGGAACTGGCAAGCAGAGGGTGGGGGGATGACGGTAAAAGGAGCAGGGGTGGGGAGAGCACAGGCCCTGTGGAAGTGAGGACATGTGTGTGTACATGTGTTCATGTCCAGGGGATGACACTGTGGCATCCAACAGCCGTGGACCAGCAGCCCACGGGGAGCTTAGTAGGAGTCAAATCCTAGGCCCCTGTCTCAGCTGCTCTGCTGTCTAGCGCATTGTGCAGTGGTAGGTGTCAGTGATCCAAGTGGGGACCCAGTCCCTCAGGCCACACAGCGCATGTCCATTGCCTTCATGCCGCAGGAGACTGAGAGGTCATGCATGAGGGCCACTTCTCTGGGTTGTCCCCACAACACGGGCGGTGTCCCTGGGACACGTGGAAGGGGAGGGGCAGCTCACTGCTGACATCTCCTTCTGCAGGCCTGGAGGAGGCAGAGGCCAGGAGGGAGAGGTCCCAAGAGCCTGTGAAATGGGTCTGGCCTGGCTCCCAGCTGGGCAGGAACACAGGACTTCAGGACACTAAGGACCCTGTCATGCCCATGGCCAGCACCCACCAGTGCTGGTGCCTGCCTGTCCAGAGCTGACCAGGGAGATGGTGCTGGCCCAGGGGCTGCTCTCCATGGCCCTGCTGGCCCTGTGCTGGGAGCGCAGCCTGGCAGGGGCAGAAGGTGAGTCCCGTGGCTCCCACCCACTTCCCTGTCCCTGTCCTCACTGCTGCACCCTGGGGGAGGGCCGCAGCGTATCCTCAGGATCCTGCCCGCCAGCCCTCCTCCTGCTCCCCTCCCTCTGTCTCTCCCCCTGGCCTTCCCTGGGCCTCCCCCGCTTCCCTCCTCCTGCACATTCCTGCTCATCCTGTCTTGGAAAGTCCAGCTGAGCGTGTCTGGCTTCCTTGCCCACATTTCTCAGGGCGGCACTCCCGGCCCCTAGGCTCCAGGATGGCTGCTCTGGCCGTTTCCCTGCCCCTCCTTCCCCAGCAGACACTCTCTGTGCCTCAGTGGTTCCCACCTCCGGGACTTTGCTCCTGCAGGGCCTTGGCTGGGGTTCTCTCCCTGCTTCAGCCGCTAGCACCCTCCTTGTGCCTGAAGCCCGCACTGGGATGCTCCTGGGCTCTTGAGGTGAAATGGCCCCTCCCAAGGGCTCCCAGAGACCTGGCTTCTGTGATAATGCTGGGACCACAGTCCCCTTAACAAATACCAGGCTCCTGAGGACGGGGACTAGAGAGGAGGTGGGAGGTTGCAGGGTAGAACTCTGCCACGCTGCATCCCAGGGCTGAGTGTGTGCCCCCTCCCAGGCTGCACAGTCGGTCCAGGGGCCAGGCCTGTGCTTGATGCATGTCCCTGTCCTGGGGTGGGGGGAGGGGACCGTGCCCAGGAACAGCACACTGCGGAGGCCCAGAAACCATGCTGAGAACCAACAGAATGTCTTGCTTCTGCCAGGAGAGGAGGGTCCGCAACCAGGAGCCCACCCCGGCAGACATGAACACATGTACATGTGCCTGGCCACCTGGTGCCTCTGCAGGGACCTGGGAGACCCCTCCCCAGAGCGGGACATCCCAAAGCAGCTGGGGGTGATGGTGACAAGGGTCCCTGCAGGAAAGAGAGGTGACCCCCTTCTACCCCTCTTGTCAGAAACCATCCCGCTGCAGACCCTGCGCTGCTACAACGACTACACCAGCCACATCACCTGCAGGTGGGCAGACACCCAGGATGCCCAGCGGCTCGTCAACGTGACCCTCATTCGCCGGGTGAATGAGTGAGTGATGCTGGGGGCAGGGGCCACGGGCAGGGGCTACGACGTCCCCTGTGCCTGGCATGGGGCGACAGTGTAGAGAGGGACCTGTCAGGTCAGCCTCGGGGTGGGAGTGGACAGAGGACAGAGGAGGAGGGAGGCCCTGCAAGAGCTCCTGCTCCGCCAGGCACCTGCGAGGCCGGGTGCTGCCGTCTGACCTGGGGTTTCTGCGGAGTGCCTCCTACACTGATGTTGGTGACAATGGTGGTGGTGGCAATGGTGAAAATCTTCTCTTGTTTCATCACAATTTAACACAATTGCCCCACATGACCTATCTTAGTTCCTCCTCACTGTGAGGTGGGCAGGGCCAGGCCACGAAGCCCCAGCTGTGCCACTGCCTGCCTGTCCAGAGTAGACCAAGGAGAGATGGCGCTAGCCTGGGAGTTCACAGATGGGAAAACTGAGGCCCTGGAGGTGAGGTGCCAGCCCTGGCCACGGGGTAGACAGTGGCAGAGCAAGCTGTGTGGACGTGTCTGGGAGGGGGCTCCGCGCTCTCCCAGGCCCCCCCTCCGTATGTGGGCTGCCACCTCTCCCACCCAAGCTCTCCTGGGCACGTGCCACAAGGGAAGGGGACCAGAATCGCTCTGGGGTGTTGGCCAGGGTCTAAATCAGCCATAAATTAAGTAATTAAATAGCTGGAACCAGAGAGGCAGATGACAACCCATTGGAGGTCACCCCAGCGTTGGGGGGCGGGGCCGGCTCTGCCACCCCCACCCCTCCACCGCCTTCAGTTCTCCAGGGCGTCTCTGTCGGACCTTCTCCATTCTCCTCAAAGACCATCCTGCCCCTCCCTGTGACCTGCTTCCTGCTGCTCTGACACAACAGGGGACCAGGGAGAAGCTCCCCACCCACCCCACACTCACACTCCCCACCCCCTTTGCCCACCGCCGGGGCCTGGGCCTGGACCAGGGCTCCTGTCTGAGGCCTGAGACACGATGCTGTCTGGTCCTGTTGCTCAGGAACATCACGGCCCCCAAGTCCCCACTCTGCCCTGTGCCACCCACCATGCCCTCTCCCAGGATCTTTCCCAATTGCCTTGCAAACCTGCCCCAACCCCCTCTCAGATGCCCACAGGAGTGCAGCGCCTGGGCATCTCCTGACCTGGCAACCCTGCGGCCCCTCTTTCTCTGCTTCCTTTGACAGCAGCATTCCCTAAAGAGTTGTCCACATTCACCACGTCCAGTGTCTTTCCAGCCATTTCCTCCTGGGCCCACTCCCCTAGGATGCTGCCCCCACCAGGCCACCCAAACTGCTCTGGTCCAAGTCAGCAAATGTCCCAGGGAGCAGGATCTCATGGTTGGGCCTCCGCCTTCTTCCTACTTGACCAGGGGCAGCCCCTGACAAGGAGGACCACCGCGGCCTCCCTGCAGTTTCTCTTGCACCTGACTCTGCCCACAGCTCACCCAGTGCCCCCGGGGCCCTGCCCATCCTCCTCTTTCTCCTTGTCTGCTGCCTCCTGATGGCAAGACACCCAGGCCCAGTCCATGGACCTCCTCTCTGCTGTATCCACTCTGCAGAGACCCCCTCAGGCCCCTGGGGCATCTCCCAAAGGTGACCTCAAGCCCACAATTCCCCTAAGCTCCAGCCCTCCAGGCGTACTGGCCTCTCCACCTGTCACTTAGACAACAGGTGTCTCCGACTCCAAACGTCCTCAACCAAAGTCCCGCTCTCACCCGAGCTGCGCTGCTGCCTCTGTCTTCCCCATCTCCCTTTCTAAATGGGAGCTCCTAGTGGCTCAAACTAAACAACAGGGAGGATTTTGTTTTGTTTTTAAGTCTCTTTTGTCACCATTCCTTCCTGACTGCTACATCCCTCCACCAGCAAATGCTGCCAACCTTATCTCAAGCAGAACATGAATCTCACCCACGCCAGCCTGACCACCCTGTTGCACGCCACTTCCTGTCACCTGAATATTCCAGAAGCCTCGTAACTGGGCTCCCTGCTTCCAACATTGCCACATTCCCACCTCAGTCTATTCGCAACCGAGGACCCTCAGGAATCCTTTCAAAGCATTTATCAAAATCTACAACACCTCTGCTCATGACTGTTTCCCACTCACTCGCAGTGAGATCCAATCCCATCATGTAGATGGATGGGTCTCCTAGACCTCCCTATCACACGCTCTACTCCCTGCGCACTGGTTTTAGGCCAAGCCACGCAGCACACCAAACTCTGCCTGTCCCAGGGCCTTTGCACGTGCTGTTCCCATTTCCTGAAATCCTCACAATTTGCACAGTCCCTCCCTCAATGCCTTTAACATTCTGCCCCCAGGTCACCTCCTTAGAGAAGCCTGCTTGTCCCATATTTCAAATTGCCTCCCTGGCCCAGCCCTTCCTCCCTCCTCACCTGCTTCTTGCTTTATTTTTCCACATGAAGTTCTCTCCACTGCACACGCTACACACTTTGTTCCATGCGGGTCCCCTTCTCCCAGGATGGCAGCTCCGTGGGCAGGATTTTTGTGTGTTTTATCACTGCTGGCCCCTGATTCTGAACAGAGCCAGGCATGTGGTGAGCACTCGAGGAACCTTTCGTGAGTCAGTGATACCCATACACCCTGGGCTAAGCCGTGTCCTCTCCCAACAGGGACCTCCTGGAGCCAGTGTCCTGTGACCTCAGTGATGACATGCCCTGGTCAGCCTGCCCCCATCCCCGCTGCGTGCCCAGGAGATGTGTCATTCCCTGCCAGAGTTTTGTCGTCACTGACGTTGACTACTTCTCATTCCAACCAGACAGGCCTCTGGGCACCCGGCTCACCGTCACTCTGACCCAGCATGGTGAGGGGCTGGGGGCCCTGCCCGGGGCTTGGTTTCCTGTGTGGACAGCGGGGGCACCAGGGGTGGTCCAGGGAGTCTTCAAGGCAGAAGGCTGTGGCTTGGGGTTGGGTGAGGGTTTCTTGAGGGATGAGGGTATGGTCTGGTTACATGGAGACTTCAGAGCAGAGGGGCCCCTGACAAAGGCTTCTCCTGTGCCCCTGGCTGCTACCACCTCCCACTAAGCCATGGGCTTCCAGCACTGCAGGCTTGTCTTGAAGAAAACCGTTCTCACCACTCACTTAGAAACCTACCAAGTTAGAAAACTCTGTCCGCTTAGTTGTTTCATCTCATCTCTGAAGCAACCCATTTCCTGGATGTGGCCCTTGAGGCCCAGGAGGTCAGATGCCTCCTCTGAAGTCCCACAGCTGAGCAGTAATGACAGAGATGGGGTCAGCCTTCCCGGGGGCTTCCTGCATGGTAGACAGGGAGCTTGTCTCCTCGCTGCCCTGGAGGAGGGGCCCCGGTGTGGGCCGAAATCCCACAGTGGTCCATGAAGCCATCTGTGGTCTAGGGTGGGGTAGATGATTATTTTATGTAGTTAGGTTTTATTTGCCTCTATATTAGAAAGAAATATAACCTGCACTTCGAAGTCCTGGATTCAAGGAAATGGTTGCTTAGAATGAAGCTAAACCTGAAAAGGGACACGTTTTATGAAAGTTTTCGTTGACGTGGCAAAAACCCATGCTGGTGGCAGGCTGGTAGGAGGTACTGCAGGCTGTCATTGGGAGTCTCAGAACCACGGCAGGCTTGGTGCTGTTATTGGTGCCTTTGGCTGCTGCTGAAACGGAGACAGAGGGAGGTGACTAGTCCAAGGCCTCTCTACTGCTGCTGGCAGAGCTGAGATCCAGTGCAGGATGGTCTGAGTCCCCGGTCCTAACCACCGAACCACCTGGTGCTCTTTGCAAGGGTCACACGGAAGGGGCTCTGACCATGGCTTCCTGCCCTTTTTTGCCACAACATCATAAAGCCACTGCCAGAGGAGGGGATCAGTTAGGCCACCAGGAGTCCATCAGAAGCAACATTTCCACACATGGGTTTGATGGACACGAGAGTCCCTTCCTTCCCGAATGGAGCTCAGGGGGCCCAGGCTGGAGGGAGGGGAAACACTGTATGCCGTCCACCGTGAGAACTTACTGACAGTGGCGGGTGGGTGCCTCATGCAGGGGGTAAAGGGCAGGGCCCCTGGGAGATCAGAACAGGCTTCCCAGAGGGAAGAGCTTTGCAACTCAGATCTGAAGGGTAGACAGGAGGGGAGGGCAGTAAGAGCCTCTCTGGCAGGGTAACAGCTGTGCAGAGGCTGGGGGATCAGAAGGGCATGGGCAGCTGGGGAACCTGCTCACCATTGTGTCCAGGGAGCATCAGCTTCAAGGGCTGGACAGCGGTGGGAAGAAGCAGGAGACACAGGTAAGGACCTGTCCCTGGAGAGGCTTCTGTCTCCTGCAGTCTCAGGTAGAGGGGACCCTCTAGGCATGGAGAGCACTGAGGGGAAATGACATGATCAGATGTGGATGTGAGAATGCTGGGGACAGGGGACTTACAGGGTAGATTGGAGGAGCATTAGTTGGGAAAGAAGTTGAAATTCAGGCTGTGGCCTAAAGCACTCATTCCTAGAAATGATGAGGACACAACTGGCTAGGAGATGGGGACATGAGGGCATGCAAATCATAGTTCAGATATACACACAATTCATTCATTCAACCTTCTTTCCTTGAGCGCCTACATAAGCCAACGAAGCAGTCAACAAACCAGCCAGCAACCCTGCCCTTGGAGCTTACAGCCTGGAAACAAGGAAGGTTTCTAAGGCGATGGAGACAACTTAGATATAGGGAGAGAAGTGTGGCCCTTGGCCTCCTGGAGCCTGTGTTGAGTAGCGAGGTAGGGTCCAGCCTAATGCAGATTAGCAATGAATCAAGGATGCTGGGAGGTACTGGGCAGGCGACAGGCATGCATCTGATCTGCTCTGAGTCTCCATGTTTGGAGACCTTGGACATTTTACTTCCTCTATGAGTTTCTCCGTCTGTGAAATGAGCTGGTGGACTCAAGAGGTTTCTCTTGAGTTGGCTGAGCAGGTTTCTGATGGGGCTCCCAGTCTGCGCAGTTTGTGGCAGCTTCCGAGAGGGCTCTGCCGGGAAGAGCTCCCCCTCCATGACAGCCTCGGGGGCTGGGAGTGCAGTGACCCATGAGGGACGCCTGTCCTGGCTGTGGGTGAGGAGGGGCGGTTCCCCTGCTGTGTGTCTGCCGTTCTGGGTTGATGGTTCCTGACATGCTCTAGCATGCCATAACCCATGTCCAGCAGAGAGCACTTACATCCTATGTGTGAGGATGTTTTCGTTTGAAAGCCATCCCTCAGCAAGCAGACACCAGAAACCAGAAATCAGGTGCCGTGTCTTCATTCTGCATTTTCTTGAACAACCCAGAGTTCCCAGGAGATAGATGCTTGCCTTGTGGCTGCAAGGATTTCATGAGAAGCCCCAAAGTTGCTTACGCGTATTTGTTCATTCATTCACTCATTCACCTTGCCCCATAATTCACTGAGAAGCCGCATCTCAGCCTGGAGGTAGGGAAGGGGGTCAGGACCAATCCCACCCACCCCCATCTCCTCACACCTTAGGGGAGGCAGACACAGAAGCATAGGAATCCCTCAGCTGTGGTAAGGCCCTGGTGGAGGGAATTCCACTGAGCTATGGTGAAATGAGAGAAGGAATGAGGGATTCCGCCTGGAGATGCAGATCCGAGGATGTTCCTAGAGCCGGAGGCATTTGCCCGGGGCACTGACAACAGGAAGGACCCTGGGCAGGAGGAAGGGAGCTTGGACAGCAGGAGGGGGGAGGCCGCTGAACCGCAGGCCCCTCTGCTAGCAGGAGCCACCCAGGCCGCAGCGTGGGCAGTGGGGAGCCTCAGGACAGAGGAGGCTCCAATGAGTTTCCTCGCCAGCGCTTTTTATGGAGTTCGGGTCACGTGCGCATTGCAATCTGCACGGCTTTCCATTGCTTTCATGTTGAAACCCTACAGTTTTGCAGATGAAGGGCTGAGGCTCACAGAGGAGACGGGTCTTGCTCAAGGTCCCTCAGCTGCTGGGGGCAGGGGTGGCCTGGAACCCCCTGTGTCCACACAAAAGGCCATGCAGGCCCTGACTGCCCCCCAGCGGTCCAGCCCTTAGGTGCCCTTCACTTCCTCCCCTCCAGTCCAGCCTCCTGAGCCCAGGGACCTGCAGATCAGCACCGACCAGGACCACTTCCTGCTGACCTGGAGTGTGGCCCTTGGGAGTCCCCAGAGCCACTGGTTGTCCCCAGGGGATCTGGAGTTTGAGGTGGTCTACAAGCGGCTTCAGGACTCTTGGGAGGTAGGAACCACGGCCAGCTCTGCCCCAGCCCGAAGGGATGGGCAGCACCCCTCCTCCAGCACCCACTGTCTCCTGACAGGACGCAGCCATCCTCCTCTCCAACACCTCCCAGGCCACCCTGGGGCCAGAGCACCTCATGCCCAGCAGCACCTACGTGGCCCGAGTACGGACCCGCCTGGCCCCAGGTTCTCGGCTCTCAGGACGTCCCAGCAAGTGGAGCCCAGAGGTTTGCTGGGACTCCCAGCCAGGTAATGTTGCCAGAGCCCAGGAAATGCCCCGTGGTGGGAGGGCAGGCTCATCAGGAGCTCCTGGCACAGCAGGGTTCCTGGGCTCCACCTGGGGGCTTCCCAGATCTCCTGCTGCCATCTTTCCAGTAGCGTCCCTGGGCCGTCCCACCTCTACTGTGACCACTGACCAGTAGGACTCTGCATCTGTTCACTTTGGGTTTCCAGTTTTCTGCACGTTCTCTGCCAATGGCAATTACAATAATAACAACAACAGTGCTATTAGCAGCTGTGTGTTAATGGAGGCTACAGGATGCTCAGGGCTTACCCACATTTTTCAGTTCAATCCCCAAACACTGAAACTTAGATACTATTTCCATTCTCCCGGGAGGGCGTGCAGGTGCACAGAACTCTCTCTCTCTCTCTCGGAGCTGTTGGACACACAGCTGGCAGGTTCAGGCTGAAGTTTCAGCCCTGGTCTTTTGGCCCCAGAGCTCATGACCTCTGTGTGATGAATCACACGGTGGGCACCCACTGAGAGCTATGGGAGGGATGAATGACGGAGTACATGAGGACCTGTCTCCAACCCAGGGGATGAGGCCCAGCCCCAGAACCTGGAGTGCTTCTTTGACGGGGCCGCCGTGCTCAGCTGCTCCTGGGAGGTGAGGAAGGAGGTGGCCAGCTCGGTCTCCTTTGGCCTATTCTACAAGCCCAGCCCAGATGCAGGGTGAGCATCTTTTTTCTCCATCCCCTCCCCTCCTCTTGGCCTTGCTCTCTCCAAGCTTCCTCCTGTCCCTGGGGCCCCAGCAGAAGCCACAGCCCACCCTAAGCTCTCCTCCCTCCCGTGTGCCCTCCCTCTCCCTGCCCTCAGCTCTGCTGTGCTCCTCAGGGAGGAAGAGTGCTCCCCAGTGCTGAGGGAGGGGCTCGGCAGCCTCCACACCAGGCACCACTGCCAGATTCCCGTGCCCGACCCCGCGACCCACGGCCAATACATCGTCTCTGTTCAGCCAAGGAGGGCAGAGAAACACATAAAGAGCTCAGTGAACAGTGAGTTTGCTCCTAGCCCGCTGTGGGGATGGTCTGGGACCAGCACACCCTCATTGTGTAACCCGAATCAGTTCAGGGTTCCTCCTGGCCCCGTCTTCATGTTTGTCACTTTCAAAGAGATGCAGTCCAGTGACCAAAAGTGAACAGAGAAGCAATGAAACCACGACGGCAGTGGCCAAAAACAGGAGCAGATCTTTAAAACCTCTGATCTCTTGTCCTTTTCTTCTGCTTCCCTCTCCCATCCTGCAGCTCTCTAAATCTCCACTGCTAGCCACACCCTCCTGGTCCTGTCACCAAAACCTTCCCTTTCATTCCTCATTGGATTTTCCTCTTTCTGATATCCGAAATTCCCCACCGACTGATATTCTATCTTTAATGTAATTGATCTATGATGTACTTTTCAACTGGAGCCTGTGGTGTGTACAAATAGTGTTGATCCTTGGAGGTTAACATCCCTCGTTTCTGTGATGTAACAAGGACCCCAGTGCAATGGAACCTCTCACGTTGTTTCATGATGACCAAGTTCTTCCATCCAGTCTTTAGCATATGTGAAGGGCAGAGGCCAATTTGTCTTAATTACCTGGGTTTGAATTTACCATTAACTCTCTTGGGATCCTCACTGGAAAAAGGAATTCTGATTGTTCAAAAGCACAGGATATATTAAGGGCCTCATATAATGCCTGGCACATAAGAGACCTCAGCAAATTACGGGCATTCATATTATGTTTATACAGTGAAGGCATCAAGGTTATAAGCATTCTCTTTTTTCTTTTGGGTAGACTGAAGCTCAGAGAGGTTGAGTGGCTTACTTAAAGCTGCACAGCTATTAGTAGGCAGATCAAGATTAGAGTTCAGAACTTCTCACTCCCTGCCCAGTTTCTGCTTTCTTTACCCTTTGCCTCTTTCAAGTTGTGGGTCTGCCGGCCAGGTGGGAGGTGCTGTCTGCAAAGGGCTTCCCTTTCTCTTTGGCCACTATCTGGCTGGGGAGAGGCCTCACCTAGATGTTGTTGAAGGCCTGTTACAGCCGCTTTATTGGGGATTTTCTGGCGATGAGAACGTGTGAATGTCCTGGCCTTTAGTCAACTCCCTACACCTCTGAGAGTGTCAGACAAGAGAGCCCATCACACTGGTGGGATTGCAATCTTTGCCTCTACCACTGCTTAGCTGCCTTTCCTTAGGGCAAGTTACTTAATGGTTCTGTGACTCAGTTTCCCTGTTTGTGAAAAGTGAAGGTTAATAGTACCCACCATATAGGGCTGTTAGAATGGAGTGGAATAATTCATGTAGAATAAGTATGTATAACAGTGGCTAAAACATAGTCAGGCTGGGCGCGGTGGCTCACGCCTGTAATCCCAGCACTTTGGGAGGCCAAGGCATGTGGATCACGTGAGGTCAGGAGCTCAAGACCAGCCTGGCCAACATGGTGAAACCCCGTCTCCACTGAAAATACAAAAATTAGCTGGGCTTGGTGGCGGGTGCCTGTAATCCCAGCTACTCGGGAGGCTGAGGCAGGAGAATCACTTGAACCCAGGAGGCAGAGGTTGCAGTTAGCCAAGATCACACCACTGCACTCCAGCCTGGGCAACAGAGTGAGACTCCGTCTCAAAAAAAAAAAAAAAAAAAATAGCCAGTTGCCTAGAATAGAACCAACTAACAGTGGTTTTATTTTTACTGCAAAAAATAAAAATAAAAATAGGAGTAGTGCAAGCACTGGGCCACATCACTACAAAACAAGTGTATCTCAGCATCTCCCACGAGAATACCACTCAGGTCAAAACATGATATAGTGAAGTGGGGATGAAAAGGATCCAACCATGGGCAGAACCTGGGGTCTGGTGCCAGTGGAGACAGCCCCAGTGTCTAGCATGAGACACGGGGAATGTTCCGTTGGAGGGTGGGTATGATGACTCTCCTGAAAGCTTCCCTCCCTCCAGTCCAGATGGCCCCTCCATCCCTCAACGTGACCAAGGATGGAGACAGCTACAGCCTGCGCTGGGAAACAATGAAAATGCGATACGAACACATAGACCACACATTTGAGATCCAGTACAGGAAAGACACGGCCACGTGGAAGGTGAGGGCCTTTGCCCAGGGAGGGGAGAAACACTGGGGAGGGCGGGAGAAGGGAAAGCAACCAGAGGCATTCCACCTGCAAGGCGTCGGGCCCTTGGCAGGTGACCAGTGAGAGGTAGCCACTGGGACGTGGTGATCACTAGGCTGTGTGGTCAGCAGGTCACTGTCCTGTCTCTTGGTGAAGTAACTGAGGTTTGGAAAAGTGGCGTGGCTTGGCCAACGTGAACAGCTGACCCTGAGTCCCCAGGCAACAGAAGACCCTCTGGGCAGGGAGGGGTTGAAAGGCCACTGGGAAGAAGGTTTTCAAAAGTCATGAAAGTTTGGGGTTATTTCCTCAGAGGAATCTCATCTGGACACACATGGAGGCTCAGACAGAGCTGCTTCTAATGAGTCGGGGGTGCGCCCAGGCCAGGGCTCGGTCCCCTGCCTCCACAGAGCCCAGAACAGAAACCACAGAACCAACCCCACACCTTCAGTCTAGAAATGGGGCAACTGAGGCTAGGAGGGAGGTGGGCCAGTGGTGGAGCCAGGAGCGGGCCCTGGGGTCCTGAACCCCCATTCTCAGGGTCCAGAGTCCAGTCGGCCTGCACTGCGTTCCTAAAAAGGCCACAATATGGGTGCAAGCTGCCCCAGAAGGGCTGGGAGCTGAGAAGGCTCAAAATAGGGTGGGACAGGTGGCTTCAGGGTTCTGGGCCTCAGTGTTGTCAATGTCAGGGGCTGCACTGACAGGTGGAGTCCCCGGTGCCATCCGAAGTGCTGTCCGTGGGTGGGCCCTCAGGGAGGATCCACGGTGGTGAGAGAGAAGCCGCAGCAGGCCTGGGGTATGGCAGGAGCTAGGAGCCAGCGAAGCCGAGGGTCCAGGTGGGAGGGATTTGCAGCTGCTCCCACGGGCACCGGGCCAGGCCTCACCCTCAGTGCCAACCCACAGGACAGCAAGACCGAGACCCTCCAGAACGCCCACAGCATGGCCCTGCCAGCCCTGGAGCCCTCCACCAGGTACTGGGCCAGGGTGAGGGTCAGGACCTCCCGCACCGGCTACAACGGGATCTGGAGCGAGTGGAGTGAGGCGCGCTCCTGGGACACCGAGTCGGGTAGGTGAAGGCTGGAGTCCAGAGCTTCTGGCCAGGACCAGCTCATAGTTTCTCACTGCCAGAAAATCCCCAATGCAGCAGCCGTAGCAGGCCTGCAACAACTTGTAGGTGAGCCGTCTCCCCGATTAGATGGTGGCCAAAGAGAAAGGGAAGGCCTTTGCAGAGAGCACCTCCCACCTGGTCATCAGACCCGCAAGTTGAAAGAGGCAAAGAGTAAAGCAGGCAGAAACTGGGCGTGGAGTCAGAAGTTCTCCACCCACTCTTCATGAGACAGCACAGCTGGGCAGAGGATGCCACATCTCTGGGTGGGCACAGAGATGTGGGGCTCCAGACCCCACTCCACTCAGGCCTCCTTCCCTCCCTTGGACCACTAGTCGTTGGAAAGTGACACCTGGTGTTCAGTACAGACTGCAAGTGAGGACTTGAGGGAGCAGAGGAGAGCAGGTCTCATGATCGCTCCTCCTTTAAACTGGGACTTAGGCTTCTGTTAATATGGCCCTTGGTTTCTTAGCTTTTGGGACTACCAAGTTTTTGTGGTTGCTCAGCCCGAGTTTCCTGTTACCATGGAAGCAAGAAAATCTAGAGCCACAGACTGGGTCCTTGGATTGGAAGGTTTTGCTGTGATTCCTTCATCTTCCCACCTCCCTGCACTTGCTGCGTGCACTGACCCCTCACCTTTCACCACAGTGACCACCAGGCGACTCCCGCAGAACAAGACAAGTCCAAGGGGTGGTTTCAGAGAGAGTAAGGATACAGGAGATATTGGGAGCAACCCAAGTCCCCAGCCAGGCTTGGTAGCGGCAGGGGCCCAGGGAGAGGGCCACAACCAGGTAGAAAGGAGGCCGGACCAATGGGCCCAAGAGAGGAGGAAGAGGGGAGTCCTGGAGGAACCTGGCCTGGGAGCTCAGGGCTGGGCAGCAGGTGGGATCAGGGGCCTCTGGAGGGGCCTTTGCTCCTGCTGGTGCCTCTGCCACTATGCCTTTCCCCATCTCCACCTCTAATCCTTCCTATTACTGGAGGCCCAGCTAATATGCCACCTCCTTCAGGAAGTCCCCTGTGATTGCCATGAACAGTGGTTCTTGCCCTCCCTGTAGCACCTCCTGTGCTATAGATCCTGGAAAGGATCTGACCCTCCTGTGTCCTCCCAGCACTTTGAACACTGTGGGGGTTCAGACCAATGCCCTTCCCAGCATGGATCTGGCCTCTCTCCCCTAATCCCCCAAGGCAGTAAGTTCCAGAGCCCTGGGCCTGCACAGAGCGGGGTCTTAAGGAATACTGCACCAACCCCACTCCCTGCCCTGAGGTCGATTTCCCGCCCAGATGCTGACATTCCTCTTTCTCCCCGGCTGCTGGAAGTGCTGCCTATGTGGGTGCTGGCCCTCATCGTGATCTTCCTCACCATCGCTGTGCTCCTGGCCCTCCGCTTCTGTGGCATCTACGGGTACAGGTGAGGGGACTCTGTGGGGCTGGAGGTGGCAGCCGAGACCCCAGAGGGCACTGGGGAATCCCACCCAGCTCCCTCCAGGCCCTGCTCTGCCGCTCCCTTCCTGGGCCTCAGTTTCCCCTCTGGGCATGAGCATGGGAGCAGCTGGCCATGAGGTCTCTGATGGCTGTCACCTCCGTGGTGTCTTCCAGGCTGCGCAGAAAGTGGGAGGAGAAGATCCCCAACCCCAGCAAGAGCCACCTGTTCCAGGTAGGAACTGGCTGCGAGGGGCGGAGTGGGGGCTTCTCTGTTCCTGCCTCTCTTGTCTCTGTCCCCACCTCCTCCTTCCCTTCCTGTGGGCTTTGGGTGGTAGGGATGTAGGTGGACTGGGCTTTGGGAGCTTTGGGAGTGGGGCCAGCACTTGGAAATTCATTCCCGGGATTCCCTGGAGTGCCCACACCTGGCCCTGCCTGCCAGAGCTCTGCATGGAGCCCAGTGGAGAGAACTGAGTGTGGGGATGCCTGGGACAGGGTGGGCTCACAGAGGGGGTTCCTGCTACCAGGATGGATGGGGTGTCAGGAGGCAGAAGGGCTCCCCAAGGACAAGATACCTGGGCTGAGCTTTGAGGGTCCCAGTGGTGCCAGGTGGCAAAAGTTGCTCTGGCTCAGGGCATCTTGAGGGTGGAGACAGAAACCCTTCAGGAAGGGAGCTGAAGGGGTGGGACAGGAGGCTGGGGGCCATGTTGGGAGGCTGAGATGACCATGGGGAAGACACCAGCGTGTGGGTGATGGGAGCCCTATAGTCAGGCAGGCAGGGCCAGCTTTGCCTGTGGAGGGGTCTCTTGGCTGGTGTGGAGGAGAAATGGGGGTGAGCATGGAGACAGGCACTCCAGGTTAGAAAAATCACAGGAAAAGGGCCCTGTCCTCAGGTAGCAGGGACATGGGGGAAGTCCCCGCCCCTCTCTGGGCCTCACTTTGCTGGTGTCAAAAGGCCGTGGCCAGTCCTGAAGAAGTGGAGATTCTTCTCTTGTCTGGGGGCTCCTTGAATCCTCCTGCACCCCCGTCACCCTCTGCCTTGCCCCCACCTCGGACCTCCTGATGCTCACCGGCCCAAATGTCTCTGCTCTTGCAGAACGGGAGCGCAGAGCTTTGGCCCCCAGGCAGCATGTCGGCCTTCACTAGCGGGAGTCCCCCACACCAGGGGCCGTGGGGCAGCCGCTTCCCTGAGCTGGAGGGGTGAGTGGGCTCGTGGATCACTCCTGACCTTTGGGGTTCATACGGGGGGCTGACTCCATTGTGGAAATCAGGGACTCAAGTGAGGCTGCCTGTGGCTCACTGTGAAGGGATCCAAGGGAGCTGGTTTGCACTAAAGCAGGAGGCACCTGGGGGGGATGTGAGGAAGAACTTCCTCTTTCCAGGTAAGGAAGTGCCAGACAAGGGGAGTGACCGGAAGTGAAAGAGGGAAACAGTTGGCCTTCCCCTCCCTGGCTGCCTCAGAGGCGTCACACTGCAGAGGCCTCATGGGGTAGCTGGGGCTGCAGACTCCCGGGAACTCGGCGCCTGAGCCGGCAGCTGACCACCAACTCGGCAGGGAGAAGGGGGTGGCATGGTTGATAGAATGATGGAAGGGTTGCCCAGTGCACAGGCTGGGCATGAGCCTGGTGCTGAAGGAGGATGGACTTTAAGGTCAAAAGGGAGAGGGTACCAGCCTTGCAGAGGAAGACCTTGAGCTCAGCATGGAGGATGGAGCTCCTGAGCCACGGAAAGACTGAATCCATGTCCCATGTCCTTCTCTGGGGCCCCTGCTCCCTCAACCCTGTCCCGTTCAGGTTCTCTCTGTGAGATCTGGGGGACATCAGGGCTTCCAGAGAACCATCTCCACCCCACCAAGACCCTTGTGCCTGACCCGGATCATCTGCCCAGGGTGGTCCCAACTCTTCTGCCCATTTTCTTCCCACAGGGTGTTCCCTGTAGGATTCGGGGACAGCGAGGTGTCACCTCTCACCATAGAGGACCCCAAGCATGTCTGTGATCCACCATCTGGGCCTGACACGACTCCAGCTGCCTCAGATCTACCCACAGAGCAGCCCCCCAGCCCCCAGCCAGGCCCGCCTGCCGCCTCCCACACACCTGAGAAACAGGCTTCCAGCTTTGACTTCAATGGGCCCTACCTGGGGCCGCCCCACAGCCGCTCCCTACCTGACATCCTGGGCCAGCCGGAGCCCCCACAGGAGGGTGGGAGCCAGAAGTCCCCACCTCCAGGGTCCCTGGAGTACCTGTGTCTGCCTGCTGGGGGGCAGGTGCAACTGGTCCCTCTGGCCCAGGCGATGGGACCAGGACAGGCCGTGGAAGTGGAGAGAAGGCCGAGCCAGGGGGCTGCAGGGAGTCCCTCCCTGGAGTCCGGGGGAGGCCCTGCCCCTCCTGCTCTTGGGCCAAGGGTGGGAGGACAGGACCAAAAGGACAGCCCTGTGGCTATACCCATGAGCTCTGGGGACACTGAGGACCCTGGAGTGGCCTCTGGTTATGTCTCCTCTGCAGACCTGGTATTCACCCCAAACTCAGGGGCCTCGTCTGTCTCCCTAGTTCCCTCTCTGGGCCTCCCCTCAGACCAGACCCCCAGCTTATGTCCTGGGCTGGCCAGTGGACCCCCTGGAGCCCCAGGCCCTGTGAAGTCAGGGTTTGAGGGCTATGTGGAGCTCCCTCCAATTGAGGGCCGGTCCCCCAGGTCACCAAGGAACAATCCTGTCCCCCCTGAGGCCAAAAGCCCTGTCCTGAACCCAGGGGAACGCCCGGCAGATGTGTCCCCAACATCCCCACAGCCCGAGGGCCTCCTTGTCCTGCAGCAAGTGGGCGACTATTGCTTCCTCCCCGGCCTGGGGCCCGGCCCTCTCTCGCTCCGGAGTAAACCTTCTTCCCCGGGACCCGGTCCTGAGATCAAGAACCTAGACCAGGCTTTTCAAGTCAAGAAGCCCCCAGGCCAGGCTGTGCCCCAGGTGCCCGTCATTCAGCTCTTCAAAGCCCTGAAGCAGCAGGACTACCTGTCTCTGCCCCCTTGGGAGGTCAACAAGCCTGGGGAGGTGTGTTGAGACCCCCAGGCCTAGACAGGCAAGGGGATGGAGAGGGCTTGCCTTCCCTCCCGCCTGACCTTCCTCAGTCATTTCTGCAAAGCCAAGGGGCAGCCTCCTGTCAAGGTAGCTAGAGGCCTGGGAAAGGAGATAGCCTTGCTCCGGCCCCCTTGACCTTCAGCAAATCACTTCTCTCCCTGCGCTCACACAGACACACACACACACACGTACATGCACACATTTTTCCTGTCAGGTTAACTTATTTGTAGGTTCTGCATTATTAGAACTTTCTAGATATACTCATTCCATCTCCCCCTCATTTTTTTAATCAGGTTTCCTTGCTTTTGCCATTTTTCTTCCTTCTTTTTTCACTGATTTATTATGAGAGTGGGGCTGAGGTCTGAGCTGAGCCTTATCAGACTGAGATGCGGCTGGTTGTGTTGAGGACTTGTGTGGGCTGCCTGTCCCCGGCAGTCGCTGATGCACATGACATGATTCTCATCTGGGTGCAGAGGTGGGAGGCACCAGGTGGGCACCCGTGGGGGTTAGGGCTTGGAAGAGTGGCACAGGACTGGGCACGCTCAGTGAGGCTCAGGGAATTCAGACTAGCCTCGATTGTCACTCCGAGAAATGGGCATGGTATTGGGGGTCGGGGGGGCGGTGCAAGGGACGCACATGAGAGACTGTTTGGGAGCTTCTGGGGAGCCCTGCTAGTTGTCTCAGTGATGTCTGTGGGACCTCCAGTCCCTTGAGACCCCACGTCATGTAGAGAAGTTAACGGCCCAAGTGGTGGGCAGGCTGGCGGGACCTGGGGAACATCAGGAGAGGAGTCCAGAGCCCACGTCTACTGCGGAAAAGTCAGGGGAAACTGCCAAACAAAGGAAAATGCCCCAAAGGCATATATGCTTTAGGGCCTTTGGTCCAAATGGCCCGGGTGGCCACTCTTCCAGATAGACCAGGCAACTCTCCCTCCCACCGGCCACAGATGAGGGGCTGCTGATCTATGCCTGGGCCTGCACCAGGGATTATGGTTCTTTTAAATCTTTGCCTTTCAGATACAGGAAAAATAATGGCATTAAATTGCTTTAATTTGCATTATTTTAGTTATCCAGTTTGCACATATTTTTATAGGTATCTTAGGCATCGATTGGTATTTTTTAACTGGGCCAAGCCCATTAAGGTCTTTCTTCTGTTGGGTGCTATCATTTTCTGATTAAGTCTTTTTGACTATTGACATACAGTCTTTCACAGATGGTGGAGTGTTTTTCCCCCAAATCTGTTGTTTGTCTTATAATGTTGTATATGAGGTTTTATGGTGTATGAATATGAATGCTTCTGTAATGTCAAACAGATCCCTAGTAAACTCCTTCTTCACTTTTACTGTCAGATTTACAAAGGTCCTCCCATTGCAAAGCAGTGTTTGTCCTAATTTATATATTGTTTTTCTAGTTCATTTTGTGTTTCCAACTTTTCATGTAAAATTTTAATTATTTTTGAATGTGTGGATGTGAGACTGAGGTGCCTTTTGGTACTGAAATTCTTTTTCCATGTACCTGAAGTGTTACTTTTGTGATATAGGAAATCCTTGTATATATACTTTATTGGTCCCTAGGCTTCCTATTTTGTTACCTTGCTTTCTCTATGGCATCCACCATTTTGATTGTTCTACTTTTATGATATGTTTTCATAAGTGGTTAAGCAAGTATTCTCGTTACTTTTGCTCTTAAATCCCTATTCATTACAGCAATGTTGGTGGTCAAAGAAAATGATAAACAACTTGAATGTTCAATGGTCCTGAAATACATAACAACATTTTAGTACATTGTAAAGTAGAATCCTCTGTTCATAATGAACAAGATGAACCAATGTGGATTAGAAAGAAGTCCGAGATATTAATTCCAAAATATCCAGACATTGTTAAAGGGAAAAAATTGCAATAAAATATTTGTAACATAAAACAAAGTGAAACCCTGAATTTGTGTGTGCATGTTGGTGTAGTTGGAGGAAGGGGTTGCTCTTTGAAACCTCAATTGCTATTGTAAGTGATACAGCTCCAGTGACTGGAGGAACACCAGGGTCCTTAGTCTTGCGCCGATTTAAATAAAACGACACGGAAACACATGGAGTGGTTTTAAGGAGTGGAGAGTTTAATAGGCAAGAAAGAAGGAAGAAGCTCCCCTGTACAGAGACAGAGGGAGGGGGGATCCAAAGCTGAGAGAGGAAACCCTGAGTGCCACAGAAATAAGCCAGTTATATGAGGAGGCTAGAGAAGGCAGTATCTGATTTGCATAGGGCTCAGGGGATTGGTTTGACCAGGCATGTCATTCATGTAACCCCTGAAAAACCTGGCCCTTTCACCCTAGCATTTTAATATGCAAATGCAGGGCGCCATGATGTTCTACACAGGTGGGACTATGTGGGGGTGGCCATATTGCCAGGCAAACATGGGGACAAGGAAAAGATGGCGGGAATCCCCATGTTTGGGTGGACCCAGTTTCTAACGGTCTGCATTTGCATATCAAAGGTTGCCAGCCTGATTCTAAGAGCCGGGGCTTTCCTGCTAGACAAGAAACGTTTTTTGGAGCTGCTTTTAAAACAGAAACGAAAACTTCCCAAGGACCACTTTTCCTCTTTATCTGCCTCAAATAATTTTTTAATAATTCCTATAACACAAGGAAATGAATTCTGCCAAACAGAAGGGCCTTTGGTCTTTGGGGCACTACAGTGGGTACATGATGGCGTGTGGAACACCACGCAATGGAGGGAGACGCAGGGCACTCCTGGGAAAATCCAGGAGGGATGAGGGAAGAGGAAAGACAGTGAGGGAAAGGAGGATAAAGAACACACTTTTAAAAAATCGTTCATTATTATCTGAAATTCCAACACAACTGAACGTCCTGTATTTTTCCCTAGTCATGAGAGTGAAAAACTAAATAGAGACTGAGTTCCCCATACAAATAACTGAGAGTGATCGAGAGCTTATTCCTGGCAGGCCCCATTCGAGTGACCTCTAAGATCAATTCATTTAGATACTATGGAAGTGGAAGATACTATCTTTATCATTTTTGTCATTGAGGAAACTAAGGCACAGAGATGTCATACAACTTGCCCCAGGTCTGCCAGCAGGTAAGGGGCAGAGCCAAGATTTGAACTGTAGCCCTGTGTCTCAGAGCCTGCCCTCAAAAGGTAAGTCTCTCACCTAAAGATCCATACGGAGATGTAAGATGATCCATGTTGGTTGGCAAGACAGAAAAATCCATAAACCAAATAAATTGATTTGGTGGCAGGGGGAGATTGAATCAGAGGTGACCCTGAAAAGTGTCTGTTTATCTGGGAGCTGAACACTGAAGGTGCAATTCTCACCCATTGGAGTCCAGAGAGACCTTCCCTGGAGGACTGCAGCTCCCTCATCTGTCTTCCCCTGAGAACCCAGCCCAGAGCCATGCATGTAGTAGGTGATCATTGAGGTGAGCAAGGCCTGCAGGAGGCTGTCCCTAAGATGGAGGAGAACAAAAAACTTATTAGGGGGATGAAAGGGAGGGCAGGAAGCAGAAGTGGGCTAGGGAAGCCATTGGCCATCCAGAGTTGACATTTGTCCCCCCATGGGGAACTTGGGGGATGAATTGCCTGTTGGAAGAGCCCATGTTGGGTGGAAATGGCCAGTCCCGGAGCCCTTCATGGTGGGGAACCCTGAGAACACACTACATAAGGAAGGAGCAGGGCTGGAGACCATCAGCAGCTTGGGCCTCACAAGCATTTCACGTGTTTAATTGATCACACAGAACCCTTGCACCAAGACAATCGTTTGCTCCTAGAGGGAGCCTTTCCTTCGTTTGGAAACAATCCTTTCCCAACCCCAACAAGGCAACCTGCATCCGGTGGTGCTCAATCAATAGAAGCTGGGCAGCCCGGGTGCAGGGTCAGTGTGCCCAAAGCATTGAAATGCGGTGATTTGGGCCATGGGTCATGCTGGGTGTCCTGAGCAGGGGTAACTTCATCTACCCAGTGACGCAGGTAGCAACTCTCTGGGTCTGGTGGCACAGGAGGTAAAGGAATTTACCAAGCCAGTTGTAGGTAAAGAAAGGCAGATTTATTAGAGAAGGTATGAAAATACGTTGCAAGGTCGCAATTACAATGAGCAGAGAAGGGGCTGTCTGCAAAGAGGCAGTGGCTGAAGGGAAGTTTCATAGAGTCACGTTGAAGAGGGCTACATGCAGAACAAGCAGAACGAGGTTGTTGTGCCTGGTTGTTTGTGATTAGCTGTCTCTGAGAATAATTGATGACTTTTCTCCCCACTTGGGGCCCTCCCCAACCTGGGGCCTCTTCCTCATTGTTGCTTATTTATCAGGACTCCACCAGGGACAGAGTCACCCTACAAGTCCTAACTCAAGTGTGGGTTCTTCTTAGAACACAGCCCCTCCAGCTCCCTTGGAAATCCCCAAGTCTTCCCAAACGATGTAGGACTTTTCTTCTTGGTCACTTTGCAAGCCGGGGCCCCCAGTCAGTGATGCCTTGCCCAGGTCTCACTCGGCCACGCTATCGCGTATAACTTGTATAACTTGTACCCATGTTCAGTGGTTCCTGAGCCCTTGTACCTCGCCCAAGAAGAATGAAGATATACTGGACATTGGAGGGTGAGGAGGGCTGAGAATAATTTTATTGAGTGATGAAAATGGCTTTCCGTGGAAAGGGGATTCAGGGGTGGGAGGTGGGGTGTAGGGGGAGGTTTTGCCACGTGGCTCGGTCTGGGGCCCTTTATGGATTCAAAATGAGGAGTGTATGCTGATTGGTTTGTGAGTATGCAAAAAAGGTTAAAGTGACAACACCACTCAAAGCTGTGCACAATGGTGTAAGAAAACCAATTAGGAAAGGGTAGGGAGGTATATGTAAAATAGGTGAAGGGTGAGGACTAATCAGAGGTAAGCATGCCAAACAGAAAGACAAGTTCTCAATCCAGTCCAGTCGGATGATTTAACTTGTAGCTTGGCTTTCAGGCTTTAAACTGTCTTTGGCTTGGAGGTGGGGTTTCACGGAGGACCTGCCCCATCTGCATAGGCATTTGTCCACCTCCTGCTTCTATCACAGAGCATGTCTCAGCCTCTCTGTCCTGCCACTCAACTTTGTCCCCCTGCCTTTATTACCCATCTTGTAATTCCTGGCTCACAGCTTTGTGTTCCAACTAGACTGAGAGCTCCCTGAGCCCAGCTACTGCCAGGCTCACTTCAGGCTTCAATGCCCAGCTCAGACGCAGTGCATCTGCTAGTGTGTGTGTGTGTGTGTGTGTGTGTGTGTGTGTGTGTGTTAAAAGTGTTTCTTGCTGGCTGGTTCTGGAAATTTGTCATTCTCTGTCCTCTATCTTCCTGTTAAAAACTTCAGCTGAATTAAATTTAAAGGAGTTTAATTGAGCAATAAACAATTCGTGAATTGGGCAGCCCCCAGAATCACAGCAGATTCAGAAAGACTCCAGGGGTGCCTCATGGGCAGAACAAATTTATAGACAAAAAAAAAAGTGACATACAGAAATCAGAACTGAGGTACAGAAACAGCTGGATTGGTTACAGATTGGCGATTGCCTTATTTGAACACAGTTTGAACGCTCAGCAGCGTATGAGTTGTTGAAGTTTATCTGCTGGGATTGGCCAAAACTCAGTGATTGTTACAGACGCATACTCCTAAGTTAGGTTTTCAATCCTGTCTACCTATTAAGTTAGGTTGTAGTTCATCCACAAGGACTCAAATATGGAAGTACAGAGTCCTTCTCAGGCCATATTTAGTTTGCTTTGACATCCCCATTGAGATGACTCAACTATTCGGCTAAGGGCTGTAGACAGTGAAGAAATGTGACTAATTGCTGGATACTGTAGTATATTGAGTGTGCAAGAGCATTATATCTAAAAAACAATGTACATACTGCAATTTAAAATGCTTTGCTGCTTAAAAAAAATAATGCTAACAGTCATGTGAGCCTTCAAGTTGTCATCTTTTTGCTGCTGGGGGTTCTTGCCATGATGTTGATAGCTGCTGACTGAGCGGAGTGGTGGTTGTTGAAGGCTGGGGTTGTGTTGAAGGCTGTGGCAATTTTGTGATTGGCCACCAATGGAGTTTGCTGCATCAATGGACTCATCCTTTCATGAAATTTTTATTGGTAGCATGCAATGTTATTTGATAGCATTTCTTTCCAAATTGAAGTTAATCTTCTTAAACCCTGCTGCTGCTTTGTCAACTAAGTTGATTTAATATTCTTCATCCTTTGTTGTTATTTCAACATGTTCACAGCATCTTTACCAGGAGTAGATTCTATCTCAAGAAACCACTTTCTTTGCTCCTCTGTAAGAAGCAGCTCCTCACCTGTTCAAGTTTTATCATGAGATTGCAGCAATTCAGTCACATCTTCAGGCCGTACTTCTAATTCTAGTTTTCTTTCTATTTCCACTACATCTGCAGTTCCTTCCTCCCCTGAAGTCTTGAATCCCTCAAAGTCATCCATAAGAGTTGTAATTGACATCTTCCAAACCCTGTTAGTGTTGATGTTTTGACCTCCTTCCATGAATCGCAAATGTTCTGAATGATATCTAGAGTAGTGAACCCTTTCTAGAAGGTTTTCAATTTACTTGGCTCAGATCCATCAGAAGAATCACTGTCTATGACAGCTATAGCCTTAGGAAATGTGTTTCTTAAATAACAAGTCTTGAAAGCAGGAATTTCTCCTTGATCCAAGGGCTGCATAATAACTGTTATGTTCACAGACATGAAAACGACATTAATCTTGTGTATCTTCATCAGAGCTCTTGGGTGACCAGGTACATTGGCAATAAGCAGTAATATATTGAAAGAAATATATTTTCTGAGCATTATATCTCAACAGTGAACTTAAAATATTCCTAAACCATGCTGTAAACAGATGTGCTGTCAGCCTTTACTGATCCATTTCCAAAACACAGGCAGAGTAGATTTAGCATAATTTTTGTATTAGTCTGTTTTCATGCTGCTGATAAAGACATACCCAAGTCTGGGCAATTTACAAAAGAAAGAGGTTTAATTGGACTTGCAGTTCCACGTGGCTGGGGAAGCCTCACAATCATGGTGGAGGGCAAGGAGGAGCAAGTCCCATCTTACATGGTTGGCAGCAGGCAAAGAGAGAATGAGGAAGGCGCAAAAGCAGAAACCCCTGATAAAACCATCAGATCTTGTGAGACTTATTCACTACCAAGAGAATAGTATGGAGGAAACTGTCCCCATGATTCGATTATCTCCCACTAGGTCCCTCCCACAACACATGGGAATTATGGGAGTATAATTCAAGATGAGATTTGGGTCGGGACACAGAGCCAAACTGTATCTTTTTTTTTTTTTTTTTTTGAGATGGAGTCTCACTCTGTCACCCAGTGCCACGATCTCGGCTCACTGCAAGCTCCACCTCCTGGGTTCACCCCATTCTCCTGCCTCAGCCTCCCGAGTAGCTGGGACTACAGGTGCCCACCACCACGCCCAGCTAATGTTTTGTATTTTTAATAGAGACGGGGTTTCACCGTGTTAGCCAGGATGGTCTCGATCTCCTGAACTCGTGATCCACCTGCCTCGGCCTCCCAAAGTGCTGGGATGACAGGCGTGAGCCAACGCACCTGGCCAACTGTATCAATACTTAAGGGGCTTAGGGTTCTTTGGAATTGTAAATGAGCATTGGTTTCAATTTAAAGTTACCAGTGGCATTAGCCCCTAACGAGAGATTCTGCCTGTGCTTTGAAGCATTGCAGCTTCAAATAAAAGGCATCTTCTTCCGATAAAAAGGCTATTTTGTCTACATTGAGTATCTGTGTTTAGTGCAGCCACCTTCACTAATCATCCTAGCTGGATATTCTGGATAACTTTGTGTAGCTTCTCCATCAGCACTTGCTGCTTCACTTTGTTCTTTTATGTTACAGAGATGGTTTCTTTCCTTAAACCTCACGAACTAATCTCTGCTAGCTTCCAACTTTTCTTTTGCAGCTTCCTCACCTCTCTCAGCCTTCAGGGAATTGAGGAGCATTAAGGCCTTGCTCTGGATGAAGCTTTGGCTTAAGGGAATGTTGTGGCTGGCTTGGTCTTCTATCCAAACCACTAAAATTTCTCCATATCAGCAATAAGACTGTTTTCTTTTCTCATTCATGAGTTCACTGAAGTAGTATTTTTAAGTTCCTGCAAGAATTTTTCTTTTGTATTCATAACTTGACTATTTTCCCAAGAGGCCAAGTTTTCAGGCTATCTAGGCTTTCAGTGAAGCTTAATCATTTCTAGCTTTTGATTTAAAGTAAGAGATGTGTGCAACTCTTCCTTTTACTTGAAAGCTTAGAGGCCATTGTAGGGTTATTAACTGGCCTAATTTATTTATTGTTGGGTCTCTGGGATGAGGGAGGCTAGATTAGGTGTCTAGTTAGGGCCTGCTTCCTCATAGATGAAGGCTTCTCACTGTAGGGTGAGAGATAAGAGAACGGCCCGTCGGTGGAGCAGTCAGAGCACACAGAACATTTGTTGATTAAGTTTACTGTCTTCTATGACAGATCATGGCATCCCAAAACAATTGCAGTAATAACATCACAGATCTCAGACCACCATGACAGAGACAATAATCATGAAAAAGTTTGAAATATTGCAAGAATTACCAAAAGGTGACACAGAGATGAAACTGCCCCTATAAACTTTATGAAATGAATCAGGGAAGAAGGAAGGGGGAGAAATAAAAGTCACCCACGCTTGCAGCACATTTGGCCTCCATCATGAGGTCGGCCTGCTCTCCAGCCTGCGTCCTCACAGCTGTCTGGTGCCTGTCGTACTAAAATCACATAGACCCTGTTACAAGATCACGGTTCCCCTTAACTGCTCCGTAGATAACAACGTGAACATTATAAAATGTTTAGTTTTCCCTGTGAGATAGTCCTTCAGGTCCCATACACTGATGAAACTACCGACCCAGCTGGTCTGAAGGACCCCACAATGGGCTGACTCACCAAAGAATGCAGTTTCCATATCGTGATGATTTCATCCCCCCTTCCCCCCGACCAATCAACAACCCCAATTTTCCAATTATGGAGGGAGTCTCTCACCCTCTATAATCCCCTTAAAAACCCCAGACCAAAGCTCCTTGGTGAGATAAACGGGAGGGCCTCCTCCCATCTCGTCACTCAGCACTCTGCAATCATTAAACTTTCTCTGCTGCAAACCCTGCTGTCACTATGTAATGGGTCTGTTACTGCACAGTGGGCATATGAACCCATTGGTCCTATAACAGAGGCATGAAGTGAGCACATGCTGTTGGAAAAATGGTGATGGTAGACTTGCCAAAAGCATGGCTGCCACAAACATTCAATTTGTATAAAACACGGTATCTGCAAAGCACAATAAAACAAAGTGCAATAAGATGAGGTGTGGCTGTATATTCAAATTAAAATGAGATGTAGTTCTTTTACTCACCACATTGGTAAATATTACTGGGAAAATAACTGATAATATCCAGAGTGGGAAGTGTGTGGGGGTACAGGTACTCTTGTACTATAAAATACAAGTCTATTTTTTTAATAGACTTTACTTTTTAGAACAGTTTTAAGTTCTCAGCAAAATTGAGTGGGCGGTTCAGAATGCCCATATAATCCCTGCCCCACACATGCACAGCCTCCCCAACGATCAACAGCCCACACTACAATCGTCTTAGCCCACTGGGCAGCTATAACCAAAACAACATAGACCAGTGGCTTATAAACAAAAGAATTTATTTCTCACAGTTCTGGAGGCTGGGAAGTTCAAGATCAACATGCTGGCAGATTTGGTGTCTGGTTAGGGCCTGCTTCCTCATAGGTGAGGCTTTCTCACTGTAACCTCATATGGCCGAAGGGGCGAGGGAGTCTCTCAGGTCTCTTTTATAAAAGCACTGATCTCATTCCTAAGGCCTCTGCCCTCATGAACTAATCACCTCCAAAAGGCCCATCTCCTAATCCATCACCTTGTGGGGTAGGATTTCAACACAGATTATTTTGTAATTCATAGACGTGATGATTGGGTGTTCCTATGCATGTGTGAGATGTGCCACCTTCAAACCTTGTTACTGTAAGAGTTAAAGAAAGAGGAAAGAAGCCAGAAAAGGGGCTCAACAGTCAAAAACAGGTTTATTTTGGAGAATAAACCTGAAAGGGGCTTCTGGCCAATTTCAGTCAGGAGGATTCTCTATTGCAACTATCAACAGCCTGCACTACAATCGTCTTAGCCCATTGGGCTGCTATAACCAAAATAACATAGACCGGTGGCTCATAAACAACAAGAGTATATATTGGTTTTAGAGTGAGAGAGCTTTATCACAGGCTTGGAATGTTTCTGTGTGGGGGAGAAGTTTATGGTGGGGTTGGAATGTCTCTGGCAGAAGGGGAGGTTATGTTGGGGCTGACATCTCTCTGCCGGGGGGGAAGTTATCTCCGGGCTGGCTTGTCTCTGGTCAGGGAGGGATTTATCTTATGGTTGAAATGTTTCTGGTCGGAGATGTCATTTGTGGCTTATGGTCATGCTGACCTTAGTCATTAGGCTGATGACCTTTGGATTTAGGCAATTTTTGATCAAGGGGAACTTTAGAATGGCAGTGCTTGTCCAAGATGGTGATGCTTCTGCTCTGTCAGCTACCATGTGGGCATATTACCTATCTGACATGAACTTAGAAAAAAAGAAACTAAAAAAAAAAGCAAAAAGGATTTCAACGCACTAATTTGAAGGGATATAAACATTCAATCCATGGCAACAGTGGTACATTTGTTACAACTGATAAACCTATGTTGATACATAATTATCACTCAAGGGCTATAGTTTACATGAATACATCTTGACAGGTATCCAGCATTATAACATGGCACAGAATAGTTTCACTGCCCTAAAAACCCTCTGTGCTCCACTTTTTCTTCCCTCCCTCACTCTACCCTCTGGCAACCACTGATCCTTTTTCTCTCTCCATAGTTTTGCCTTTTCCAGAATGTCATGCAGTTGAAATCATACAGTATGTAGCCTATTCAGAGTCACTGTTTTCATTTAGTAATATCCAGCTAAGTTTCCTCCGTGTCCTTTCATGGCTGATAGCTCATTTCTTTTCAGTGCTACATAGTATTCCATTGTCTGGGTGTATCATAATTTATTTATCCATTCTCCTACTGAAGGACATCTTTTTTGCTTCCAAGTTTTGTCGGTTAAGGTTGCTATAAGCATCTATGTGCAGGTTTTTATGTGGATATGTTTTCAACTCATGGGAGTAAATACCAAGGAGTACAATTGCTGATCATATGGTTAGAGTATGTTTACTTTTATAAGAAACTGCAAAATTGTCTTCCAAGGTGGCTGTACCATTTTGCATCCCCATCAGCAATGAATGAGAGTTCTTGCTGCTCCACACCCTGACCAGCATTTGGTGCTGTCCGTGTTCTGGATTTTGGCCATTCTAACCGGTGTGTAGCGGTATCTTTTTGTCGTTTTAATTTGCAATTCCCTAATGATGCATGATGCTGAGCACCTTTTCATACGCTCTTTTCACATCTGTATGTCTTCTTTGATGAAGTGTCTACTCTGGTCTTTAATTGGGTTGTTCATTTTCTCATTGTTTTTTTTTTTTTAATTTTGTTGTAGAGATAGGGTCTCGACTCAGGTGATCCTCCTATCTCAGCCTCCCAAAGTGCTGGGATTACAGGCATGAGCCACCACACCCGGCCCTTATTGTTGAGTTTTAAGAATTCTTTGAATAATTTGGGTAACAGTCCTTTATCCGAAAGTTATGTCTTTTGCAAACATGTTCTCCCACTCTTTGTCTTGACTTCTCATTCTCTTGATCATTTTAGTGGGAAGTTGTTTCTTGGACAATATCTAGCAAAATGAAAAACGTACACCTTTTGACTTTACTATTATGCTTCTAGAAATACTTGGACCCATACCCAAAACTATAGGTACATAAATATTTGTTGCAACATTGTTTCCTTCTAGAAATAGAAACCACAGGAGGGCGGTTCACACAGGGGACCAGGCCCCAGCCAAGGCCCCCTGTCCCTCACCATGCTGGGTCAGAGTGACAGTGAGCCAGGTGCCCAGAGGCCCGTCTGGCTGGAATGAGAAGTAGTCAATGTCACTGATGACAAAACTCTGGTAGGGAATGACACATCTCCTGGGCACACAGTGGGGACAGGGGCAGGCTGACCAGAGCATGTCATCGCTGAGGTAGCAGGACATGGGCTCCGGAGGGTCTCTGCTGGGAGAGGACACAGCTTAGCCCACTGTGCATGGGGATCACTCACTCTGCAAAGGTTCATTGAGTGCTCACCGCTCACTGAAGAAGCCTCCGGGTCTTGGATCGGGATTGGATCTCACTGCTAGTGAGTGGGAAACAGTCATGAGCAAAGGCGTTGCAGATTTTGATGAATGCTTTGAAAGGATTCCTGAGGGTCCTCGGTTGTGAACAGACTGAGGTGGGAATGTGGCAATGTTGCAAGCAGGGAACCCTGTTAGGAAGCTTCTGGAATATCCAGGGGACAGGAAGTGGTGTGCACCAGGGCAGTGGGGCTGTTGTGGGTGAATTTGCGTTCTGCTTGAGATAAGGTTAGCGGCATTCTTTGGTGGATCGGATGCTGCAGTCGGAAAGGAATGGTGGCAAAAGAGACTTAAAAACAAAACAAAATCCTCCCTGTTGTTTAGTTTGAGCCACTAGGAGCTCCCATTTAGCAAAGGGAGATGGGGAAGACAGAGGCAGCAGAGCCACTCGGGTGAGAGGGGGACTTTGGTTGAGGACCTTTGTAGTCGGAGATGCCTGTTGTCTAAGTGACAGGTGGAGACGCCAGTGCGCCTGGAGGGCTGGAGCTTAGGGGAAGTGTGGGCTCAAGGTCGCCTTTGGGAGATGCCCTCATGGCTGGAGGTGGTCTCTGCAGAGTGGATACAGCAGAGAGGAGGTCCATGGACTGGGCCTGGGGCGTTTCACCCTTGGCAGCCGAGAGAACAAAGAGGCAGCAGACAAGGAGAAAGAGGAGGATGGGCAGGGCCCTGGGGGTGCTGGGTGAGCTGTGGGCAGAGTCAGGTGCAGGAGGAACTGCAGGGAGGCCGCGGTGGTCCTCCTTGTCAGGGGCTGCCCCTGGTCAAGTAGGAAGAAGGCGGAGGCCCAACCATGAGATTCTGCTCCTGGGATGTTTGCTGACTTGAACCAGAGCAGTTTGGGTGGCCTGATGGGGGCAACATCCTGGGGAAGTGGGCTCAGGAAGAAATGGCTGGAAAGACACTGGACATGATGAGCGTGGACAACTCTTTATGGGGTTGCTGCTGTCAAGGGAAGCAGAGAAAGGGGGACCGCAGGGTTGTGAGCTCAGGAGATGCCCAGGCGCTGCACTCCTGTGGGCATCTGTGAGGGGGTTGGGGCAGGTTTGCAAGGCGATTGGGAAAGATCCTGGGAGAGGGCACGGTGGGTGACACAGGGAAGAGTGGGGACTTGGGGGCCGTGATGTTCCTGAGCAACAGGGCCAGACTGCATCGGGTCTCTAGCCTTAGACAGGAGCCCCAGCCCAGAACCAGGCCCAGGCCCAGGCCCCAGTGGTGGGCAGAGGGGGTGGGGAGTGTGAGTGTGGGGTGGGTGGGGAGCTTCTCCCTGGTCCCCTGTTATGTCAGAGCAACAGGAAGCAGATCACAGGGAGGGGCAGGATGGTATTTGAGGAGAATGGAGAAGGTCTGATGGAGCTCCCCAGGAGAACTGAAGGTGGTGGAGGGGTGGGGGGTGGCAGAGCTGGGGCCCCCTCCCCCTCTAGGTGGGGAGACCTCCAATCAGTTGTCACCTGCCTCTCTGGTTCCAGTGGCTTAATTATTTCATTTAAGGCTGATTCAGACCCTGGCCAACACCGCAGAGCAATGCCGGTCCCCTTCCTGTGTGGTTCGTGCCCAGGAGAGCTCGGGTGGGAGAGGTGGCAGCCCACATGCAGAGGAGGAGCCTGGGAGAGCATGGAGCCCCCTCCCAAACACGTCCACACGGCCTGTTCTGCCACTCCCCATCTGTGGCCAGGGCTGGCGCCTCACCTCCAGGGCCTCAGTTTCCCCATCTGTGAACTGGGCGTCGTGGCCTGGCCCTGCCCACCTCGCAGTGAGGAGGAACTAAGATAGGTCATGTGGGGCAACTGTGTTAAATTGTGACAAAATAAGAGAAGATTGTCACCATTGTTACCAGCACCATCCTCAACGACATCAGTGTAGAACGTGCTCCCCAGAAACCCCAGATCAGACAGTAGTGCCTGGCAGGTGCCTGGCTGAGCAGGAGCTCCCGGGAGGGCCTCCGTCCTCCTCTGTCCTCTGTCTACTCCCACCCCGAGGCTGACCTGACACATCCCTCTCTACACCACCATCCCACGCCAGGCAGAGGGGACACCGTAGCCCCTACCCGTGGCCCCTGCACCCAACGTCACAGACTCATTCACCCGGCGAATGAGGGTCACGTTGACGAGCCGCTGGGCATCCTGGGTGTCTGCCCACCCGCAGGTGATGTGGCTGGTATAGTCACTGTAGCAGCGCAGGGTCTGCAGCAGGACGGTTTCTGACAAGAGGGGCAGGAAGGGGTCACCTCTCTCCCCTGCAGGGTCCCTTATCACCACCACCCCCAGCTGATCTGGGGCAGAGGTGCCCTGGGTTGGGAAGGGGGTCTGCCAGGGTGAGCTTCTGCCTGTGGACCCTCCTCTCCTGACAGAAGCACCGTGCAATCCCTGCAGAATGGAGACACGCAGCAGCGACAGGCCCTGCCCCCCAGACCCCCAGGCATCAACCCAGCCTTGAGATGAACCCCAAGCCAGGACGCTGCTGGAGCAAAGGTCTGGAGGTGGAACCACTGAGGTGCAGCGAGTGTCTGCTGGGGAAGGAGGAGAAGGGAAACGGTCAGAGCAGCCACCCTGGAGCCTGGGGGCCTGGAGTGCCGTGCTGAGAAATATGGGCTGGGAACCCAGACACACTCAGCTGGACTTTCCAGGACAGGATGAGCAGGAATGTGCAGGAGGAGGGAAGTGAAGGAAGCCCAGGGAAGGCCGGGGAAGAGACGAAGCAAGGGGAGCAGGAGGAGGGTGGGTGGGCAGGGTCCTGGGGGTATGGTGCGGGCCTCCTCCAGGGTGCAGCAGTGAGGAGGGGGCAGGGAAGGGGTGGGAGCCACGGAACTCACCTTCTGCCCCTGCCAGGCTAAGTCCCCAGCACAGGGCCAGCAGGGCCATGAGGAGCAGCTCCCAGGCCAGCACCATTTTCCTGGTCAGCTCTGGACAGGCAGGTGCTGGCACAGGTGGATGCTGGCCATGGGCTGGGGTGGGGTCTTCCATGCCCTGGAGTCCTGTGTTCCTGCCCAGCTGGGAGCCAGGCCAAGCTGATCTCACCAGGTCTTGTTATTCCTCCATCCATGAATTGCCATCCTACCCCAGGTCTTGAGAAAGGAGATGTGGGCCAGGATAAGGCCCATCCACCCCTCTCGTCTTCCCAGGGATATGGCCGATGAGGAGGGAGAAGGCCATGTTGGGGGTACGGGGAGCCTGGTCCTGCGCCTTCTCCACCTAGTGTGGATCTCCTCCTCTGCCACTCTCACCCTTCCCCGCAGTGCTGGTGTAGATTCTGTGTGTTTGTATTGGGTGCTACTGGGTTGATGCCCAAGTGGGCTGCGTTAAGCTCTTCAAGTGATTTTGGCAGATAAGCTTTGTGGATCCACCCACCACAGATGGAGCCTGTCTCCTCCCAGGTCTTGAGGATGCACAGACTCCCTTTGGGCCACCTCACTCAACACCAAACACTCCACCATCCTTCCTCACCTGCCCCAAGCTGTTACTGCCCATCCCTTCTTCTCTGCAGGAGCCTGAGGCATTTCTTAGTTTCTTGCCCTTTGTGATGTCAGAAGAAAAGACAGAGGTCTTCTTTTCTTCTTTCTCAACACTTCTGAAACCATGAAACACGCAAGCCTCCACCCACTCACACACCCACATACACACCTACACATACCTGCACACACATGCTCAGACAACCCTGATGGGACCTGACCACCCTACGAGGGCGCTGACAAGACCTTGAGGATGCTGGGAACGAGCCAGGAAGGAGGACAGGATAGGAATGGAGTTCCTGAGGAGGCAGCAGGGCTTCTCGGTACAGAAAATGGTGAACTCTCAGTCTTCCTGCCCTGGCCATGCTCAGCTGAACAAAACCACACCAGCTGGTCTCACTTAAATTCAGGATTACCATCGGAGGCGGGGGTTGTGGGGAGGCTCTTAACGCTGCCAGAACCCCAAATGACACTTCCCAGCAGCAAGGAGGAACTCTGCCCTTCCCAAGAAGCTATTTCACACCTCTCCACTTCCGTCACACCTCTACTTCCCCTGCACCCCATTCCCATGCCCCACTTCCCCTGCACCCCATTCCCATCCCCCACTTCCCCTGCACCCCATTCCTACACCCCACTTCCACTGGACCCCATTCCCACAGCCCACTTCCCCTGCACCCCATTCCCATGCCCCACTTCCACCTTAAGGACTCACGTATACCCAGGCACTATACAAACACACACACCCACAACCACATGCACAGACGCCAATGCAGGCACCCCTGACTTGCATCAAAGTCAACACCCAAATGGGCCAAATGGCTCCAAGTGGAGGAGGAGGGGCAAAAGACAGGCATGGGCAGAGGGAGAAGAGGCTTCTGCTTCTGGCCATAATGGAGTAACTAGGACCAGGTATAGCCTTCTACTTTAGAAGTATAAAACTGGACAAACGATATTAAAAATCTGTTTTCAGCTGTTAGAAAAGAGGAGTCCTTCTATATGATCGCTCAGAGAGTGAAAACAAACACGGTAGGTCCTATGATCATCCTACCTTTCTTTTCTTTTTCTTTTTTTTTTTTTTTTTCTGAGAGGGAGTTTCGCTCTTGTTGTCCAGGCTGGAGTGCAGCGGCGTGATCTCGGCTCACCGCAACCTCCGCCTCCCGGGTTCAAGTGATTCTCCAGCCTCAGCTTCCCGAGTAACTGGAATTACAGGCACTCGCCACCACACCCAACTAATTTTGTATTTTTAGTTGAGACGGGGGTTTCTTCATGTTGGTCAGGCTAGTCATGAACTCCTGACCTCAGGTGATCCTCCCACCTCGGCCTCCCAAAGTGCTGGAATTACAAGCATAAACCACCGTGCCTACCTTTTTCTACCTTTCTACCACTTTCTTGACTGTGACGTAGGTAAAAGAACTCCAACATGACCATGGCAGTCTTGCTGTGTTGGGCGATAGGGGTCTGAGTCTGAAGAGGCAAAAGAAGCTGGAATTTGGTGTAGAAAACAAGAGAAGAAAGAGCTGCACAGAGAAAGAGACCCAGCAAATCTACACAGAGATCCTCTTGCATGTACTGCTGCACACTAAACCATGCATGTGTGGGGTGGAGCTCCACTAGACTGTGTAAATAGTACACAGAGAGATGTATCTGAACAATTTCCAGAACTCACCAAGGTCTGGGAGATGTTCAAGTTCCAACAAGCCAGAATAGGAATTCTTACTGAACACCTCACACATTCAGTAGAGAACCAAGAAGAAAAACACCTTAGTGCCAGCACTAAACCAGCCCAGGAGAGGGCCATTCTAAAACTGCTCTAGGCCAGCATGGTGGCTCATGCCTGTAATCCCAGCACTTTGAGAGGTCAAGGCGGGTGGATCACTTGAGGTCAGGAGTTCGAGACCAGCCTGGCCAACGTGGTGAAACCCCATCTCTACTAAAAATACAAAAATTAGCTAGGCGTGGTGGCAGGTGCCTCTAATCCCAGCTATTTGGGAGACTGAGGCAGGAGAATTGCATGAATCCAGGAGGCGGAGATTGCAGTAAGCAGAGATTGCACCACTGCGCTCCAGCCTGGGCAACAAAGTAAGACTCCATCTCAATAATAATAATAATAATAATAATAATAATAATAATAATAAAAGTCCTCTAAGGAAGCTTAAAAACAAACCTTAAAAGATCAAACTGATTGATATGGTTTGGATTTTTGTCCCCATCCAAATCTCATGTTGAAATGTAATCCCCGATGTTGGGGGTGGGGCCTGGTGGAGGTGTTTGGATCATGGTTGGGGGATCCCTCGTGAATGGCTTGGGCCATCCCCTTGGGGATGAGTGAGCTCTCACTCTGAGTTCACAGGAGATCTGGTCATTTAAAAGTGTGTGGTACCTACCCCTACGCTGATCTCTCTCTCTCTTTCTCTCGTTCCTGCTTTCATTGTGACGTGCCTGCTCTCCCTTCACCTTCTGCCACAATTGGAAGCTTCCTGAGGCCTCCCCAAAAGCTGAGCAGATGCCAGCACCATGCTTCCTGTACAGCCTGCAGAACTGTGAGCCAATTAAACCTCTTTTCTTTATAAATTACCTGGTCCTGGGTGTTTCTTTATGACAGCATGAAAATGACCTAATACAGAAAATTGGCACTGAGAGTAGGATATTTTCCATATTAGGTCATTCTCATATTGCTGTAAATCAATGAATGCCTTAGACTGGGTAATTTATAAAGAAAAGAGGTTTAATTAGCTTACAGCTCTGCAGGCTGTACAGGAAGCATGGCACCGGCATCTGCTTCGTTTCTTGGGGAGGCCTCAGGAAGCTTACAATCATGGCAGAAGGTGAAGAGAGAAGGCACGTCACACAGTGAAAGCTGGTACAAGTGAGAGAGAGAGAGAGAGAGAGAGAGAGAGAGCACTAGTGCAGAGGCAGCTGCCACACACATTTATTTTAGTTTTTTTTTATGTTTTTATTATTATTTTTGAGACGGAGTCTCGCTCTGTTGCCAGGTTGGAGTGCAGTGGCACGATCTCAGCTCACTGCAACATCCACCTCCCTGGTTCAAGCTATTCTCCTGCCTCAGCCTCCCAAGTAGCTGGGATTACAGGCGCACACCACCACACCTGGCTAATATTTCTATTTTCAGTAGAGACGGGGTTTCACCATGTTGGCCAGGCTGGTCTCAAACTCCTAGCCTCAGATGATCTGCCTGCCTCCGCCTCCCAAAGTGCTGGGATTACAGGCATGAGCCACCATGCCTGGCTGGTGCCACACTCTTTTAAATGACTGGATCTCCTGTGAACTCAGAGCAAGAGCTCACTCATCACCAAGGGGATGGTCCAAGCCATTCAGGAGGTATCCCCCCGACCATGATCCAAACACCTCCCACCAGGCCCCACCTCCAAGATTGGGGATTACATTTCAATATGAGACTTGGGTGGGGACAAATATCCAAACTATGTCACTGATCTGCAAGTAACTTAATGACTCATCAGAATAAAGTCCAACACTTTTTGAAGAAAGACAATACAATGCAGCAGTCACCAACATAAAATAAACAATGCTCAGCATCCAATCAAAAATTACCAGATGTAGGCCAGGTGCAATGGCTCACACCTGTAATCCCAGCACTTTGGAAGGCCGAGGCGGGAGGATTGCTTGAGCCCAGGAGTCTGAGACCAGCCTGCACAACATGGTGAGACCTTGTCTCTGCAAAAAATAAAATAAAATTTAAAATTAGCTAGGCATGGTGGTGTGCACCTGTAGTCCCAGCAACTCGGGAGGCTGAGGTGGGAGGATCACTTGGGCCTGGCAGGTGGAGGTTGCAGTGAGCTGAAATCGTGCCCCTGCACTCCAACCTGGATGACAGTGAGACCCCATCTAAAAAAAAAAAAAAAATTACTACATGTAGAAAGAAGGAAGAAAATGTAACTCATAACAAGAGAAAAATCCGTCAAAGATAGAACCCCAAAATGATGCAGCTCATTATGGAACTGGCAGACAAGGACTTTGAAACAGTTATTATGAATAGGCCGAATAATTTTTCAAAAACATGAACATAACAGAAGTGGAAGATGTCAAAATAAAAACAAATAAAACTGCCACAGATAAAAGTACAACATATGAAAAGAAAATGTCATTGAATTGGCTTAATATTAGTGAATTTGAAAATATAGTAATTGAAATTATCTAAATTAAACACAGAATAAATCTGAAAAATATTACTATAAACTCCCATTCATCATTCAAGCCTCAGCTAACGCAGGGCCTCCTCCATGCAGCCTTCCCTGACTCCTCATGGGGATACAGATGGGAGTGGCTCCAATAACCACAGCTGGTGTGAGCCCAGAGCCAGACAGACCCGGGTTGGACTCCCACCTCTAGTATTGCTAAGAGTGAGACCTTGTGCAAATTATCTGCATGTTACTTCTCCAAGCCCCAAAACTGTCATCTGTTACTTGGAGATGGTCATCTACAAACCTCAAAATGATTTTGAAGGAACCAAGTGAAATAATGCCTGTCACATGGAAACCGATGATCGGAGTTAGCTAAATCACTTGTATTTTCCTTGGTTCCTATTTTGCCCTGTCCCTTCTTCCCATACAGTCCTGGAGTGCTCAGTGTTCATGCCCACCCCCAACCCCCCACAAACACACCTGATTCATATCTCTCTCCCTGGTTATTTGCACATGTCCTGGCACAGAGTTAGCACTTGAAATTGTGTGTTGGAAAATTTGGGTATTGGAAGGTATTGGAATGAATGCATGGATGGATGGATGGATGAGTGGGTGGGTGGATGGATGGATGGAGGGATGGATGGATGGATGAGTGGGTGGATGGATGGGTGGATGGATGGATGGATGGATGGATGGATGGATGGATGGATGAGTGGATGGATGGATGGATAGATGAGCAACTTCTTGAGGATAGAAGCTCCAGAGCCTATGCTTTTCTACTTTGCATCTCTGGTTCTATCCAGCCAGGTATGAGGCTGTGCACACAGACTGAGGAAACTCACTTGGTGACATAAAGACTGGGTGCCCTGTGTAAGCCACAGAGATGGGCACATTGAGTCCTGATGTTTAGAATTCAGAGATTGGTGTCTACCTTTTCTTCCTGTCTTTTTCCTGTGTTGGGGAGAAGGTCAGGGAGGAGGAGAGGGAATGGTGGGAACCACTGACATTCTGCCTTGATGATTCTTGAATTACTGCCTGCCAGGAAGGGGACCTGGCTGGGAACAGTGTAGGATGCCCTTCCCTGGTGGGGAAAGTCTTTCCTGGAGTGGAGGATTGGAGGGTGTTCAGGGAATGCCTGGGGCGCCCTGGGGACCCTGAGCTCTCTTTGGCACCCCTGCATGTGTGTGAAATCACGGTGCTGGCATGGAGAGGGTACTCAGGGGACATAAAGGGTCTGAGCTAATGTCCTGTCCCCAGCATTCTTTCTGTCTTGGATGGTCCCACTTGGCTTCCTTGAACCCCTTCACCACACTGGGAATGCAGAGAGGCACCAGACCCACGGCTGGCCAGGAGGAGCTCAGTCTGAGATGTGCACAGAGTGGAAGTAGGAGGATGCTTCTCAGAGGATTGCTGGTGCTGGACTCATCCTTCGTGCCCTCCTCCCACAGCCATGCCCTGAAACATTAGGACCTGGGAAAACTGACCCGGCACAGGGTCTGCGGGGGATTTCTGCTGCCTGGAGCTCAGGAAGCTGCATCTTATTGCCGCAAGGAAATGTCTACCCTCACCACCCACCAAGAGAGTGCAGAGAGACTCACACTGCTGGTCCCTTCCCTCGGTGAGGAAGATGCCTCTCAGCCTCCCAGCTCCCTGAGTGGCAAGAGCTCAGTACCCCCGGCCAGGCTGCAATGTGTGTGCAATGCAGAAATGTATGTGGTATGTGGAAAGTAGAACACAGGAAAATATCAAAGCCAAAGCTTCTTACAGACAGTGGTAACTGCAAATTCTAAAGTATCTTTTTATAAAAACATTAAACAATAAAATACTTTAAAACTAAACAATGATCAATGAGCCTTGTGGAGGTCCTGGGTCCAGCTATGAAAATTGACCAGAAGGGTAAATTTCCTGTAACTCAGTTATGGAAGGTGGTGTCAGGATAAGCAATATCCTGTAATGATTGATTGTGTAGCTGGAACCACCCTGTCTGAGTTTAAATCTCAGCTCTGCCCCCTTGCAAGCTGTGTGGCCTTGGGCAAGTTACTTAACCTCTCTGACCCCCAGTTTTCTGATCTGTGCAACGGAGATTATAGTAGCCCCTCACTCTCAGGATTATTATATGGATTTTTAGTAGATATGTATGATGCACTTGGACAGATCACAGCATGTAAGTGTTCTGTCTACATGAGTTAGTTTATCATTGAAGGTGCTCGTGGGCATCCCAGGTGTTATTGGGGGCCCCATTTGTCAATCCCTGGACAGCAGTGTCCCTTTGGCCTGGGCCCCAGTCATGCATCCTCATTTCATTCGTGTGCCAAGGCTACCTGCTCCCAGAATTGTTCCAAGCCTGTCCTGAGAGGAGAGGCTTCCTGGACTGTATGTCCTTAAAAAACTCTATGGGGCAATGGAGTGGAATCTATTCTCTCTTTGGAAGGGGTGAATCTCTAACCCACCCTCATTCTCATTCCACTTGCCTTGCTGGTTTTCTAAGCTGATGCCAGTTTCTTTCTGATAAACTCCAAGTCCTGGTTTCCAGACAGATTCCTGGAGAACCTCCCAGAGGCTGAGATGGTGATAGAATAGAAAACCTCTTTTGTGGAATATGCAACATCAGGAAGGGAACTGAACATAAAGGGGAATTAAAGGAGTGTGTGCTTGAACATTTGGGCTTCAGATAGAGACACAGCCATTTTCTGTAGGAAAGTTACCTTGGAGATCTTCTCATACTTGGGCAGGCGCGTGTGGAGGGTGAGTTCAGGCTGAAAAATAGAATGATGAGATTTAGGTGGATTCACAGATAATGAGCTCACAATAGAAATGTTGAGCCCCAAAAAGGATGATTGGAAACAGGACCTTAGAAGCATCAGGAAGGACCTATGTTCTTCCCAAGAGAGATGAGCTCCAACCTCGACTTAGCCTCTGTGTAGCTGTGTAAACTTAGATGTACTCCCCCACTGTCTCTGAACCTGGCTCTGAGCTCTCGTCATCTGTAAAATTTGGGTCTTGGAAGGTATTTATCAGTCTATATTCTAGTCCCCAACCCCCATGTGCCTGGGGGAGCCCTTCAACCTCCATCCCTGGTCCTCCTGTGACCCAGCATCCCTCTGAGCCTGGGGGGTGCTCCAGCCCTCTCTGTTCTGCTGACATCTTCATAAGCAGAGCCTGGGACTCTTAAGAAGGTCTAAGCACCATTATCATCATAGAACACACTTGTGGGATACGAGAATAAACCTGAAATACCATCAGTCCAGAGACAGACACTTACTACAGTTTCATCATTACCAATGTTGGTATCCAAACTTTAAATGTTGACATTTTTCTGGGGAAGAATACCAATTTCTCAACACTGTTTGCTACACATGGCTCCTGGATTTCCTCTCCCACATTCCCGCCATGCTTAATAAACACTCCTGTTCAACAAGCCCATTGGATAATATCCCTAATCTTTCAGGGCTTAGTGGTACATTATTCAGATAGTTTCTGGTAATTTGCTCCTAGAAGGAACTCTGCACTTAGGATTAATGGTTCAAGAGGATTCCCAAAGCCTTCATCTTCGATTTCCAAAAATGCTTGGCCATCTATAGGAGTCATTTCTATAAACATTTTGTTTAAATTACCCTCCAGAGACTCAAAACTGTGAGGAAATGCCTTCCTAAAGCATTCTTGTAAAGTCTGTTGTTTTGCATTTGAATAATCAGAGTAAAACATGTGTGGAGTGCTTTGTTTATTTTTAGCAATGTCTTTCCTCATTCTCTCCATTGTCTTTATTATGTCTGACTCAAAGATGATTTATCTTGGATATGTACTGATTTTAGAGTTGTTTTATCTTTGGACATGACAAAGTCGACATTTTGCTTCTAATGTATTCCTCACAAGATGTAGAGAATTCTCAAATAGTGCTTTTGCTTCAAGGACCCCTGGCTTAAATGAAATTAAGCCACTAAAAAAATGAAAGAGTTTTAAAAGGGATTTTGTTTCTTGTGAGAACTGCTACTTCTCTAAAATTTCTACAAATATTACATTTATAATACAATTAAATCTCCATTGTTCTGCTTTTTATTGTTATTTAAACTTTATAAGCTCAAACAGTCTATAATATTCTTCCTAAAATGATCGAGCAAATGCACTCTCTTAATATTTGTATTAATAATCAATCTTTTTTCTACTCAGCTAAAGTTCTTAATTATTGTGTTTCTTCATAAAATTAATAGCTTTCATAATCATTACTTATTGCAGCATTTTACTCTTGAAATAATCAATATGCGTTTACAACTGACTACTTCAATTTCAGCACAAAAAGTATGTGGGAAAAATTGCATAAGCAAATACATTGTGAAGAAGAAAAAGAGAGAAGTGGAGGGGAAATTATAGATTAAAAACAGGGAACACCAAGCGACAGTGTTCAGAGATACACACAGGGTGATAAAATAACGTGAGAAAATAAGAGACCCTGACGTGGAAATTAGCACACTGGATTCCTGGGTTGGGGGACTGGGAGGTTTGTCTGGGAGCAGTGCAGGGCTCTGGATGGGTGGCAAGGTTCTGTCTCCCGTGCGGGGTGTAGGGCGGGGAGCCATCCAAGGATATTCACCTTACAATGATTTATTTTTAAATTTAATTTAAATACTTTCTTTTGGTAGAGACGGGGGGTCTCACTATGTTGCCCAGGCTGATCTCGAATTCCTGACCTCAAGCAATCCTCCCACCTCAGCCTTCCAAAGTGCTGGGATTATAGGCATGAACCACCTTGCCTGGCCTTACAATGATTTGTTAAGCTAACCATGATTCATGTGGCTTGGGGTATTTTTACTTAAAAATAAAACAAGTTTTTAGAAAGGAAAAAAATTTGAATATGGAAATTTTAAAAACAAAACCAAACCTGGGACATAATGTAGCATCAAAGACTCTTCTTTCATAAATTTCTTTTTCCATCTGCCTGTGTTCCTTCATGTTTTCCCTTTTTCCCTCTTGCCCTGGTGTATTGACCCTCTCCTTAGGTGCAGGCAAGAAACTTGCTCTCTCTCTCCTCTTGCCTCCTCGTCCCTCCCCTTCCTCTTCCCTCCCCTTCCTATTCCCTCCCCTTCCTCTTCCCTTTCCTCTCCTCTGGCATTCAGTGCACCCCTCTGCTGTAGCTCCCACCGCAATTAACTGAAATTCTCTTTTTGTGTGTCTGTCTCTCCTATTGTCCCATAAGCAGCTTGAGAGCAGAGGTGAGGTAGGTTTTGTGCAGTTTTGAATCCTCAAAGCTTACCATACTCCCAGACATATACTAGACATCCAGAAAATAAGGTTTAAACTCAACAACTTTTCCTTTTCCCATAACGTCTCAAGTTCCACTTAATGATTTTCAATGATTATTCAAAGAGGACTATATATCTTTTAAGAATTAATTTGTCAGAAAAGGGATTTCTGGCTGAAAGAATTACAGATTGAGTTTCTGTTTGTAAGTCCAAGAGCCTGCGGGGTTATATGCCTGCTGCGCATGTCATTTAGGGAGTGGAATTTCAATTGACTTCCGTTTTTCCTTTTTGTAAAACACTGTTTGTAATTTTACCACAAATGCACATTTATGTAATAAAAGCATAATTATAATGTTCATTTAAAATGATTTTTTCCATCTAATTCACATTCACTTAGCAGTTTAAAAAGCATAAGATATGTTTACTGCAAATTGCATCTGAAATGCTTCCCTATGTTTGAGAATGAAGTTTCAGCTAGAACAGTGACTCCTGAGATGTACTCTGCTCAGGTGTTTCCAAACTTGGTGACCACAGTCCCTCTCATCCTGCATGCTCCTCCACCTTCTGACTTTGCAGCTCCTCCTATAAGGATGTGGAATCTCTTTCCCCTCCCCTTGGGTCTGGGCCTCCTTGTGACTTCCTTTGGCCAGTAGAAGGCAGTGGGGGTGAAGCTATATGATTTCTGAGACTAGGCCTTAAGAGGCCTTGCAGCTTCTTTTGCTCTCTTAGAAGTCAGCCATGGTGTAAAGCAGTCCAGGCTCTCCTACTGTAGAGGCCATGTGGAGACAGAAACCCTGGAGGATGGGAAGCCATGTGGAGGGGAATAAGCCAGTGAAGCCCTCTCTCACTCCACCCTCGTCAAGCTCCCAGCTAAATGCAGCCACATGAATGACCTCACCTGCTTTGTGGAGCAGAAGAACCACCCAGGTGAGCCTAGCCAACCCACAGAATGGTGACAAATAATAAATGGTTGTTGTTTTCAGCCATTAAGCTTGGGAGGTGGTTTGTTAGGCAGCAGTCAATCATTTGTTCTTATGACAGACATTTGTTTGCTGGTTAGATTGGATGTAACCTGGGATCACATGATCACACATTCACAATGTCAGAAATGTCCCCAACAACAGACACTTGGCAATTTGGAATTAATAAACCCAGCTTCAGAGAATCCCTGTTTCCCAGTCACTGTTTCTCAACTTTCCTACACTGCCACCAAGTATGAGCCAGCGTCTATCCCTCTCACATTCCTCACCCCATTAATAGACTCCCTGTTTTTCTTGTATCTCGTTAATTTCTGGTATGTTTCCTAGGACCTGAAAACATAACCAACTGTCTTTCATCTTAAAAAAAAAAACTCCCCCTTCCCTCACCCCAATCAAGTATCCACCTTAGGCTTCCATACCATCTCTTTCTCCTCTTTCTAATCAAGCTTTTCCAAAAAGCTGTCTTCATATTCCCATTTCCTATTCACTCCTCTCTCTATTTATTATGACCTGGCTTTAGAATGGTCTTCCGCCAGCATCACAGAGGAGCTCCACATCACATAACCAGATGGATTCACCCCTGCCTTGACCTCTCAGACACAACACCAGCACCATGGCCACTCCTAGAGCCTTAAAAGTCTCTCCATTTTTATGCCTCCCACCACACTCTGCTTTCTCCTTCCCGCTCTGACTTTCCCTTCTCTGTTCCCCTCCTGGCCTCCCGAGCACCTCAGCCAGGCCCTTAGGCACCAGTGTCCTCAGGGGTCTCCAGGGCTCCTCTTCTCATCCCGGTCTACGTGCTCTGCTTTCAAGTTTGCAGGCTCTCTCAGGTTTTACCTAAAGGTTTTCCTAAGTAAGTGTTCTTCCCCCAAACCTAAGAGCTATGAATTCAATGACCTATAGAACCTCTTTCCTTGTATGTTCCAGAGACGAGATACCTCAAGCTCCACGTGCCAGAATGTGACTCTTTGGCCACCCCCCAGCCCCCTATCCCCTACTCCCAGTGACTTTGTCTCTTGTAAGAGGCCTTGCCCTAGGCCACTGGTTCTGCTAAGGCCAGAGAAATGCCCACACACATGGTTGCTTATGGGAAGGGGTCATCTGAGCCAAAAATGGGGAATAGAGGCAGCTGCATGCCTTGAGCCACACTTGCAGAATCTGCCTGTCCAGGCCTCTCTTGTTCTCAGTGGTGACCTGTCTGCCTCCTGTTCCTGGGTCTTCCTCTTTCTGTGACTGAGACACCCTCCCCCACTGCCCGGCTGGAGGCTCAGCTCCATCCTCAGCTCCAGGACCAGCCCTGACCCGGGGAAGGAGGGGTTCACAGGGTCACAGTTGTGCCTATACTTCCTTGAACCTCTGTCCTCATCCCTGGGCCCACCCTTGCTTCTGAGAGCTGGGCCACCCTGTGTGGCCTCTGACAACTGAGTTCCTGCCTTCTTCCCCATGCTGGAGTTTGTTCTACAAAGCTCAGATTGGAGACCTTGTTGTTCTTGATTACAACTTACTTCTCTGTTTCCCTACCTCTACAGATGTGGTTTCTAGACAGTTTTCAATTATATTGATGAGTAAAAAATTTTTAAAAACAGAAAGAAAAATACAACTTTATTTTTAAATAAAAAAGAAAATATCATTTACTATCAACATCATTTTCTACTTTAAAAAAAAGACATTTTATTTTATTTTATTTTATTTTATTTTACTTTATTTTATTTTTTGTTTTTTGAGACAGAGTCTCACTCTGTTGCCCAGGCTGGAGTGCAGTGGCATGATCTCAGCTCACCACAACCTCCCCCTCCCAGGTTCAAGCAATTCTCGTGCCTCAGCATCCCGAGTAGCTGGGATTACAGGTGTGTGCCACCACGCGCAGCTAATTTTTGTATTTTTAGTAGAGATAGGGTTTCACCATGTTGGCCAGGCTGGTAAAAAGGGACATTTTAATACAAACGAAGTAATCAAAGAATTCTGATCTCAGCGCGCAGGATGGCCCTTTTCAAACAGAGGCAGCTGGCCATTTTCCTTGCCTTCATTTTCCAGGGTTTTCTCCTCCCATGAATGGGCAGTGAAAGCTTCATCCTGGACCAATCCTGCTCCACGATGGCTTTGGGGACCTGCCTTGCCCCAGTGTTTTGTCTGCAGGCCTGGCAACTTTGACCATGAGAGGCAGACTCCCTCTGACTGGAGGCTGACAAGTGGAAACTATTGGGATTATTCCCAGTGGCCTTACATGGGGGCGGCTCAGCTTGGTGAATTCTCAGGCATGATCCAAATCTGCCTCCCAGGCCCAGAACATCATTCTCTGGGATCCCGGGGCTGCCTGGGCTCTAGGAAGCCATTCTCTGCTGCTCCTGGTGTGCCCCTAGGGCTGGCTGAGGTTGGGAAGGCCTCCCCTCGCTGGAACAGAGGACAAAGTGATTCATCTTGATCCCCGTGAAATGGTTGTGCAACCCCAAGAGCCTGAGATTCATCAAAGAACGTGTCTCTTTATTTCCTGTTCATTACATTGCCAGGCACAATCCAGACAAGACATCCCAGCACTGCTTCCAGACCTCTGCTTGAAGGTGGGATTCTTCAATCTCCTGGACATTCTTAGAGTCTGGCTTTACACCACGTCTCCTTTGCACGATGGCAACACCAGCAGTATCTGCCCATGTGCAAGAGAGCCTCTGCAACAGCCCAATGGAGAAATGGAGGAGTTTCCAGGCCCACGTGACACTGAATCACAATTGTCTTTTACCGCTTGGGATGATGATGCCATCACTTTTCTCTAATTTTTTTTTTTTTTTTTGAGGCAGCCTCACTGTCACCCAGGCTGGAGTGTAGTGGCGTGATCTTGGCTTACTGAAACCTCCACCTCCCGGGTTCAAGTGATTCTCCTGCCTCAGCCTCCTGAGTAGCTGGGATTATGCCTACTATATCTCCAGCCTACAGGTGTGCGCCACCACGCCCAGCTAATTTTTATATTTTCAGTAGAGACAGGGTTTCACCAAGTTGGCCAGGCTGGTCTTGAACTCCTGGCCTCAAGTGATCCGCCTGCCTTGGCCTCCCAAAGTGCTTGGATTACAGGCGTGAGCCACTGTGCTCGGCCACTTTCCTCTGATTTTTAAGTGAAGTATATACATACATACATACACAGCAGGCAAGTGGAATTCCAAGCACAGAGGGCTTTTCAGCATAATTCTGAGAAGGCAACTTTGAGCAAATAACTTGCAGACATTATACAATTCTTTCTTGTTAAAGTCAAGGCAAGCTTTTCTGGGAAGGGGCATGAAGACCTTGACATAGTCTGCTTAGTTTTATTTATTTATTTATTTATTTATTTATTTAGAGACGGAATCTCGTTCTGTCACCCAGGCTGGAGTGCAGTAGCGCGATCTCAGCTCACTGCAACCTCCGCCTCCCCGGTTCCAGGTTCAAGGAATTCTCCAGCCTCAGCCTCCCGAGTAGCTGGGATTACAGGCCATAGTCTGCTTTAAAAATAATAATAATAATAATAAAAGACAACAGTGAAGAAGAAAGAAAGAATGATTCCCTCTTCGCACAAGAAGAAAGTTCTGATGCTTTTGGTATCATGGGGTCTTAGGTTCAATGTGTAGTGAGAGCTAACTAAGACAATTTTTATTTGTTCCTCTGAACACTTCTGTATTCCTATGACTACGTCATGCTTTTCCAGTTGCTATAACTTATGGAGTGTTTTGATATTTGGCATCCTCACTCATTAGTCTTCCTTTTCAACATTTTATTGGACACGATTACGCTATTATTCCTCCAAATTATTGTTAGAATCAATTTATCAAGTCATAAAAATGTCCTCTTAGAATTTTTATTGGAATTGCGCTAAATTTAATTCTTAATTTGGGAAGATCTGACAGTTTTGACAACTTTGTAATACTGGCTCTTTTGATCCAATAATTATGGATTTCCACTTATTTTGGGAATTTTACTTCAGCAAATTTTAAAAGCTTTTTCCTAGGTTCTTATTAGATTCATCTCCAGGATTTTAAGATTTCAGTGCCAGCCTACCTTCTCTCTCTCTCTCTTCCACCTTCCTCCCACCTCTCTCTCTTTCTTTCTTTTCTTTTCCTTCCTTCCTTCTTCCCCTCCTCCTACTCCTCTTCTTCCTTCCTTCCTTTCTTTCTTTTTTTTTCTTTCTTTCTTTCTCTTTCCTTCTTTTTCCTTCCTTCCTTTTTCTTGCTTGCTTGCTTGCTTTCTTCATTTTCCTCTTTTGTGGCCAATATCTTCCCAACCTATCTTATTGCAAATGATTATTATTAGTGCAAAGAAAAGCTACGGATGTTTGTGTAATGAGTTTATACCCAGCTCCTTCTCGAAGTCTTGTTCGTTGAATAATTCTTATTTAAATCTTACATGCTTTCTAGACATACAAGCCTATCTTCTTCAAATTATGAGCTTTGTCTCTTATTTTTAATAGTTATTTTACATATTATTCCTATTCAATCACAATTGCCAGAAAGTTCAAAACTATGTTGACAAATTCCTGGTGTTGCACACACCTGTCTTCAGAGAGATTGCATAGAGAATGCCAAATGCTTCACCATTCGAGAGACTTAGCATCGCTTCCTGAAAAGTCATCTTGATCCTACTAAAAAAATATTCTACTCATGACAGCAGGCATTCACCTCTCAAGGGTCTATGTCCAGGGAAATGTTTCTGCCTCCATCTCCAAGTGGCCATGTGAGGCGTTTTAATAAAATGAGCCTCCGACTAAGACCACACCAGAAGGCTCCTGTGGTTGGGCACCAGTGGCAGGTGACAGAGAGCTCCAACCAAAATGCCCTTAAAGTTCTCCTCAGCTTGGTTTGACTTCAGATGGCTTCTCATTGAGTCTAGGCCCTGACCTCCCTTATTTTAGAGCATCTTCTTTAGAAAATTTGTCATTGAAAATGATTTCTCTGTCCCTTTGAGATGTTGGTAAATCTTTTCAAAAGCCTCTTGCTGGCCAGGCACAGTGGCTCACACCTGTAATTCCAGTACTTCGGGAGGCCGAGGCGGGTGGATCACCTGAGGTCAGGAGTTTGAGATCAGCCTGGCCAACATGGTGAAACCCCGTCTCTACTAAAAACACAAAAATTAGCCGGGCATAGTGGTACATGTCTGTAATCCCAGCTACTCAGGAGGCTGAAGCAGGAGAATTGCTTGAACCCAGGAGGTGAGGCAGAGATTAGCCGTGAGCCAAGATTGCACCACTGCACTCCAGCCTGGGCAACAGAGCAAGACTCCGCCTCAAATTAAAAAAAAAAAAAAAAAAGAAGAAGTTCAAGGCTACAGTAAGCTGTGATCACACCACTGCTCTCCAGCCTGAGTAACACAGCAAATCCCTGTCACTAAAAAATAAAAAGGGAAAAAGAAAAATAAATAAAAAGAATTGTTTTACACTTAGATTTCAAGATTTAAAAAGCTGTCAAATACCATATATTCAAAAATTCTGGTATCGTAAAAAGAGAACAGTAGAGATCTCTTAATGCTGCAATTATCCACTGAGGTTTCACAGTTTATGAATATCATGCTTTTTTGTAGAAATCTGCTAAGCTTACTGTTGAATCATTTATGTACACTGACTAATTTTTGAGCCATCATCAATTTTCATGAATTATGTAATTTAGCCTCAGCAATGTATCACATGCATTTGAAATAATTAAACTTTTCAAAGAGACTTAATACATGCAACAATGAGTAAATTAACGCTTTTATTAACATCAGCAGAGTTCTTTTTTTTTTTTTTTTTTCTGGGAGACAGGAGTTTAAGTTCAGGTAAAGCGACACTCTTGGCTTTGAGGCTTTTCTCTAGCTTTAAACTCTAGCCTGCAACTGTTTCTGATTAGCAGCTAGGTGACCTTCGTTGTACAAAGAGGCATCATCCTCTTGATCTTGGGTTTTCTTTCTAAAGGGCCTTGTGTGTTTTCATCCCACATTTTAAGATATAATAGCTGCATTGAACGAATTGGGGGATATTCCTTCCATCTTTATCTTTCCATTGGTATTATTTAAATAACATGAGGATTATCTGTTACTTAAAAAGTAATCTGCCTTGTAAGAACTTAACATCTTAAATGAGCTTAAAAACAAAAGAGCTTGCCTGTTAAACTGTCTAGGCCTGATGCATTTATAAGTGATTATTAAATACACTTCTCCACTTTTTCTATAATTATTCTATTCTTTAGTATTTTACCATTTAAAAGGAGACTTCTTGCTTTCTGAAAACACTCTTTCTTTTTCTACATGTCTGCTGGCATTCACCTCTCAAGGTTCTGTGTCCCAGGCAAATGCCACTCCAAGATGCCAGGCCTGTCTCTGCCTTCAGTCAACTTCCACGTGGGTTTCCAAAGCTTAGTATTAAATTGGGTATCAGGTTAAAATAAACATCAGAAACATTCTCATCTTTTTTCTTTCTCACTAGCATTTCTACTTCCTTTTGTTTTGTTTGTTTGTTTGTTTGTTTGTTTAAGAAATAGGGTATTGCTCTGTCACCCAGGCTGGAGTACAAAAGCATGATCATGGCTCACTGCAGCCTTGACCTCCCGGGCTCGAGCAATCCTCCCATCTCAGCCTCCTGGGTAGTTGATACTACAGGTACACGTCACCAAGCCTGACTATTTATTTGTTTTTTGGGGGGTTTTCTTTGTTGTAGAGACAGAGTCTCACTATGTTGCCTAGGTTGGTCTTGAACTCCTGGGTTCAAGCGATCTGCCTACCTTGGCCTCCCAAAGTGCTGGATTACAGGCGTGAGCCAACGTGCTCAGCCTCTATTTCCCGTTGAACTGGTTTTGGTAAGATATTTTACAGGCTAACTGTGTATTTCATCTAGCAGCCAGCAAGCGTTTGCACATCGTTATAAATTATGTCTTGTTATAAACTTGTTCTAACAACAATTCACTCTGAGCAGGCATTCCGCATGCTCATTACATAATATTTTTGTCTCTGTGCAGCTGCACATCTGCACCGTAGTGTAGCTCCCTGTCCCCGGGTGACCGATTGGAACTAGGTTTCTCCATCCCCAATAGGCCTCACTGTGTCTCATCACACCAAAGTATTTTTAAAAAGGCTTAATGAAGACAGCATCCTCTGTATCATCCCCCGGGAAGGCTGAGCAGGTTGCGCACCATAAATACACTTCAACGTTCCTATCTGCCTAAGCCTTGAATCCCCTCCTCTATGATATAGCAAGGTAAATGCCTGCATCCTGACTGCATTTAATGGACCACGGGCCCTGGGTTGGGGTTGCAGCACCCAGTGAGCTATGAGAGCAGCCCCCAGCTGCTCCGTCTGACAGATTGAAGCCAGGCTCTCCAGCCAGCGCTTCCAGCTTCATCAGTTCTGTTTGTTCAACGTTATGTTCCTTCTGCCCTGGTCTCGCAGCCTGAAATTCATTCCTTCACGTATTCCTCAGGATTCTGACATTATAAATTGGCAAAGGTCTTGCAATTGTTTGAATGCCTCCTCCCAGATCAGCTTTGGTCGTCATTACCCGAGGGTCTGCCAGGATGTTATGGTTCTGAAAATAATAAAAGGTGGGAGTAAAATCAACAGTCCCTTCAGGGCAGCAGCCTCAGGTGAGTTAATTAAAGTCTTGAGGCAAAAGAAGATTGATCTCCAGTAGGGAAAAGAGCTGCTATTGATGACTAGGGAGATGAAGTCTGGGGTTCAAGGTATTCAGATTTATCAAAATCTGCCCAAATTTCCACTTCTAATTCTTAGAGTCTCTCTCCTTCCCAATTAATCCCTTGTTACAGAAGAGATCTAGCAAGGTCATGAATTAAATTTGTATTTTATTTTACTTGGAGTTTGGTTTTTAGAAATCCTGGCCCTGCCTGTAATCCCAGCACTTTGGGAGATCACGGTGAGAGGATCACTTGAGCCTAGGAGCTCAAGACCAGCCTGGGCAACACAGGGAGACCCTCATCTCTACAAAAAATTTTTCAGATTAGCCAGGTTTGGTGGTGCGCACCTGGAGATCCCAGCCACTTGGGAAGCTGAGATGGAAGGATCGTTTGAGCCTGGGAGGTAAAGGCTGCAGTGAGCTGTGATCACGCCACTATACTCCAAAAAAAAAGAGAGAGAGACTGAGAGAGAGAGATAGAGAAAAGAAATCTTGGCCCTGTGACCATAAGAAATAAGGAGTTCTTTCAGAGTAATCTAATAATTCTCTGGTGGTCTATCTCTGCCTTCAGCTGGAAATTTACAGTCCTAAATTTGTCTCTTTATTTTTCCTCCACTTTTTCCAGTATGGTCAGAAAAATCCCGCCGGTTCTACAAGAAGAATCTAATATAAGAATCTTATATTGCAATAGCTACTTGATGTCCCAAGGCCTTGCTTGCCATAGGCAGTTGACCCCAGGCAATTACAGATGCTAATTTAGGTAACTGATTTGTCAAAGCATGTCATGAACGGCTAGTGTCTCACTTTCTACTGGCAATGAAGTCACTGTGGCCTTCAAATCTAAAAAGATGAAAAGAACAATTCCAGATTCCTATATTCAAATATTTGGTCTCCAAAAACCCCTTTTAAAACCAAAACAACTGTGGAAAGAGCATGCAGAGCAAAAGCCAGAGAAGCCGCCAGTGGGTGGGAGAAGCTGCCACTAATGGGCAAGGATGGCTTTCAAGAGCTCCCAAGGGAGGGGCTGGGCATCTCACTTGCCCCACACTTGGCTACTGGCACCTTCAGAAGACAGTGTCCTCTCCTTCTCTCCTGTCTTCTAGATCTTTCTCTAGAGCCTCTCACTGGGGAACAAAGCTAGAACCACACAAGGGGCTTCTGGGAAGTCTCTGCCATCCAGAGGAAACCTTCAAAGGGAATGGTGGTGACAGGGGATTGACACGGACAATCCTGTATATCGAGATGGTTTCTCTTATAGCTGTTCTGCTTTGAAGACTCCAACAGACCTACACCCTCTGAATGCTAACAGTAGTCTTAAAAGTGTCATGGAAGGCCGGGCACGGTGGCTCACGCCTGTAATCCCAGCACTTTGGGAGGCCGAGGCTGGTAGATCACCTGAGGTCAGGAGTTCGAGACCAGCCTGGCCAACATGTTGAACCCCCGTCTCTACTAAGACTACAAAAAATTAGCCGGGGGTGGTGGCAGGTGGCTGTAATCTCAGGTACTCAGGAGGCTGAGGCAGAAGAATCGCTTGAACCTGGGAGGTGGAGGTTGCAGCGAGCCGAGATCGTGCCACTGCACTCCAGCCTGGCAACAGAGCAAGACTCTGTCTCAAAAAAAAAAAGTGTCATGGAAGGACTTTGGCTCTTCCCCACAATGGCCACTTGGACCCTGGACTAGGGCAGACAGCAACGAAAACCGAAGAAGGAATGGAAAGAGGATAAAAAATAATATATTTTTATTTTTATTTTATTTATTTATGTATTTATTTTTGAGATGAAGTCTTGCTATGTCACCTAGGCTGGAGTGCAGTGGCGGGATCTCGGCTCACTGCAACCTCTGCCTCCAGGGTTCAAGCGATTCTCCTACCTCAGCCTCTCGAGCAGCTGAGATTACAGGCATCTGCCACCACACGTGGCTAATTTTTTTTTTTTTTTTTTTGAGATGGAGTCTGGCTCTGTTGCCCAGGCTGGAGTGCAGTGGCGTGATCTCGGCTCACTGCAAGCTCTGCCTCCCGGGTTCACGCCATTCTCCTGCCTCAGCCTCCCAAGTAGCTGGGACTACAGGCACCCACCACCACACCTGGCTAATTTTTTGTACTTTTAGTAGAGACGGAGTTTCACCTTGTTAGCCAGGATGGTCTTGATCTCCTGACCTCGTGACCCACCCACCTCAGCCTCCCAAAGTGCTGGGATTACAGGCGTGAGCCACTGCGCCCGGCCAACACCTGGCTAATTTTTTTTGTATTTTTAGTAGAGACTGGGTTTCACCATATTGGTCAGGCTGGTCTCAAACTCCTGACCTCAAATGATCCGCTGAAATGATCTACCATTTGGGTCTCCCAAATGTGCTGGGATTACAGGTGTGAGCCACCGTGCCTGGCCAAAAGTAATATATTTTTTAAAACCTGGCAGGAGGAATTTGCCTATCTGAGATATAGACTATAAGGGCTGACGGTGCCTGTGAGGAGAACGAAGATGCCCTTTTGCTCTGGAGGACTGTATTTTCAGAGCTGTCAAATAGCGTGTTCCCTCTGTTTGTTTCTCTCTCTCTGAATCCCCTTCCCAAGGTTGCAAGCATAATCAAGGCCCTCCAGAGCAAAGGTGCTCGATTTCACTAATAAAGCAATGCAAAATGAAACAACTGTGTGATCCTATTAGACCTCTCATATCACTGAAAATAAAGCAAGTGACAGCAAAAGTCCATGAGAAGAGGAGGAAACGGGCATGCTCACTCTCACTCATGACAGTGCAAATTCGTGTGTTTCTGGAAGGCAATTTGTTAACTTACACGATAACATTTTAACTAAACATGCCCTATTACTCTCAGAAACCTAGCCCACGGAAATACTGAAACTGCCTTTGCAGAATGGCTCACACCCGTGATCCCAGCACTTTGGGAGGCGGAGGCAGGCGGATCACGAGGTCAGGAGTTGAAGACCAGCCTGGCCAAGATGGTGAAACCCCGTCTCTACTGAAAATACAAAAATTAGCCGGGCGTGGTGGCAGGCGCCTGTAATCCCAGCTACTCGGGAGGCTGAGGCAGAGAATTGCTTGAACCTGGGAGGCGGAGGTTCCAGTGAACCGAGATGGCACCATTGCACTCCAGCCTGGGCAGCAAGAGTGAAACACCATCTCAAAATAAATAAATAAATAAATAAATACAAAAATTAGCTGGGCGTGGTGGTGCATGCCTGTAGTCCCAGCTACTGGAGAGGCTGAGGCGGGAGAATCGCTTGAACCTGTGAGACGGAGGTTGCAGTGAGCCCAGATCACGCCACTGCACTCTAGCCTGGTGACAGAGCAAGACTCCATCTAAAAAAAATAATAAATAATAATAATAATAATAATAATTACAAGTAATGAATTAGAGAAAACTAATGTGACTGACTCCGTCTTGCTTCTAACCTCACAGGCTAAATTGCTTTTTTGCTTATTTTAGTGCAGAGTTCAAGAAACTATGAGAGGAATTTAGTTTATAGCTAAACTTACAGGCAAGGAAAACTGATTCCCCCCACCACTCCTCTCCTTGTCCAAAGACTGAAGCTGCATTCATAAGACAAGGGTAGAATTAAGGTAGAGGCTTGAACTTTGCTAAGGAATAGGCAGAATTAAACAATGACTGCCCAGTGCTTAGCTTGTTTTTCTATAATTTGCTTACTGTCCAGAGTCACTTAACTGGGGGTTAAGTGGCAAGATTTATAATTCCCCCAACTACTCCTATAGATGACATCACTATTGTGAAATCTAAAAAAACTGGTCTTTGAGATATTTTTCAGATTTAGCATTTTGATAAACCAACAGATACCACTTTGTTCTGAGACTGCCCACCCCCACCACAACCCACCCCAACTCCCAGGAACTGATTCAGCTGCGTGAAGGCAGATTTATTTATTTATTTATTTATTGAGACGGAGTCTTCTCCACCCGGGCTGGAGTGCAGTGGTACAATCTCAGCTCACTGCAACCTCTGCCCCCTAGGTTCAAGGGATTCTCCTGCCTCAGCCTCCTGAGTAGCTGGGATTACAGGCACGCACCACCACACCTAGCTAATTTTTGTATTTTCAGTAGAGACGGGGTTTCTCTATGTTGGCCACGCTGGTCTCGAACTCCTGACCTCAAGTGATCCGCCCACCTCAGCCTCCAAAGTGCTGGGATTACAGGCATGAGCCATCGTGCCCGGCCAGATTTAGATGCCCCTGTGATTTCATCTCCAGTCAATCAACGGTTCCAGTTCCCCAACCCCCTGCCCACCAAAGTACCCTTAAAAAAAACCCTAGCCTCTGAATTCTCAGGGAAATGGGTTTGAAAAATTTCTCCCTGTTCCCCTTGCTTGGCAGGCCCTGTGATTATTAAACTCTTTCTAGGTGGCAACACCTCCCGTTCTCATTGGTTTCTTCTAGGGCAGCGGGCAAGAAGAATCCATTGAGCTGTGACGATTCTGACATGAGCATGAAAAGATGTGTCCAAGGATGCTCCGTGGGTGTGGTTTGTAATAGTCCCAAGGTGGAAATATCTGAAGCTCCCATCAGTGGGCATCTGGTTAGTGTAGCAATATGATAAGGGGGACTTTCAAGACTCCAAATTCAGATAAAGAGTCATCAAAGAGCCCACATCTGCAGAGAACCATAAACAGTGGGGGTCAGATGCCCTCTCAGGGTTCTGCAACCCCACATCCTCACTAACACACTCTGGCCCTCCTCTGGGCCAGGGAGACCTGGGCTAGAGAGAGAGGGAAGAAGTGTCAGAGAGGTGAGTGCTTGGCCAGGTAAGAAAAACTGTGGCTTTTCCTTCCCCCTTACCGTGAAGAAGGAGCTGGGGTGAGCTCCTCTGCCCCAAGCCAGGTGAGGATATCTCCCAGAGGAGCAATGGTAGAGCCTGGCGGTCTTCACTAAGGGGAGACTCACATTTTGTTCCCCAGTGAGAACAACCCATCGTGCCTGCCGGACCTTGCTGTGCTCTCTGCCTTCTGATAGGGAGGAGAGGGTTGGAGGGAGACCACGGGGGATGGAGGCTAGTGGGGCTGCCACACTTCCACCCCATGACGCCACAGGATGAAGGAGCTTCCAAAATGCACGTGGACCCCAAGGAAGGGAGTGAGGCGTGAGTGGCCACGCAGAGCCCATCCAAGGGGGCAGACAACTGGGTGAGAACACCCCAGCAGGCCAAGGCTGTGGGGTGTGCCCTAGAGGAGGGCAGGACCCGAGGCAGTATGGGGAGCTGCTGAGCCAGTGCATCTCCCTCACGGGGGCGCTGTGCAGTGTAGGTGCCCCTATGGGACACGCACACCTCCTCCAAGAGCGGCCCCCGCAGCGGAGCAGAGCTGGCCAGAGGAGCACTAAGTAAGCCAGGCTGACAGAGGTGCTGGAAAAGAGGTCCAAGGGGGAGCTGGAACTGTTACAGGCATTCAAACCAGAGTGACTCCATTTTGAACAGGGGCTGGGCTACTGGGCTGCGTTCCCAGGAAGTCAGGCATTGTTAGCCACGGGATGAAATAGAAAAAAAAAAGTTAGCCAGGTCTGGTGGCGCACACCTGTAGTCCCCGGAAGGATCGCTTGAGCCCAGGAGTTCGAGGCAGCATTGAGCTAAGATCTCGCCATTGCACTCGGCCTGGGTGACCGAGTGAGACCCTGACTCTAAAATAAGTAAATAAAAAGAACCAAAAAGTATCTAATTATGGATGATTTTTACTTTCGTTTAGACGCTATTCTCTATAATAAAAAATGTTGCATTTGTAATCAGAAAATTAAAAAAGAAAGAAAGAAAGAAAGAAAGAAAACTGTTAAAACTGAATTGGTAGAAGAATGGGTTAGTGAGACAATCCCTCGCAGAATCTTGTGCTTTGGGAAATCTCCGTGCCGTTTGTAGAAGGATTGCACCAGTGACGCGGTGACACCCATCTCCTCCCAGCCCCGCCTCCTTCCTTCCGGTCCGCTGCTGAGGCTTGGCTCGGCTTGTGCTGCCACCTACAGGTCAGCGACAGACATTACTTCAACCCCCCTTCCGCAGGGGCAGCCGCTCCCAGCTGCAGTTTTCCCTTTTCATTTTAAGCCCTTGGATTTCAGAGTTGAGGATGGAGATGTGTGGGAACTTCCAATGTGAAGTCAAGATAGGGGAGAGGGCAAGACAGAATGAGATAGAGAACACCTGTGTGTGCATCTGTACATGCAGGGCCCAGTGCAAAATGAAGATGTGGGGGCCCCTTGTTCAAAAATTATTAAGAATCTCAATATTGTAACAGTAGGGCATTAAATCAAGTGCAGCGCCCTCTGAGAATGAGCCGTCTGGGACTGCACAGGTTATAGGCTGCATGCCCATGAAGCCGACTGGCAACCTTGTATTTGGACTTAAGTTAGCAATGCTTTCGTATGCTGTGCCTAGGTGTGTATGTGTACAAATATGTATATTTGTGTGTGTGCATCATGTTTGCGTGCACCTGCTTGTACAAACGTGCTTAGATGTCTGGTTTTTGTTTCGTTTTGTTTTGTTTTCTACACGGAGTTTTGCTTTTTCACCCAGGCTGGAGTGCAGTGGTTCAATTTCAATTTGGGCTCAGTGCAACCTCCACCCCTGGGTTCAAGCGATTCTCTTGCCTCAGCCTCCCGAGTAGCTGGGATTACAGGCACCCGCCACCATGCCCAGCTAATTTTTGTATTTTTAGTAGAGATGGGGTTTCACTATGTTGGCCAGGCTGGTCTCCAATCCCTGACCTCAGGCAATCCACCCACCTCGGCCTCCCAAAGTGCTAGGATTACAGGTGTGAGCCACCACGCCCGGCCTTAGATGTCTGTGTGTAAGTTCATGTACAGTGTGTTTGTGTGTGTGTGTGTGTGTGTGCATATATGCATGTGAGACAGCAGGTTTCTCTGTTCCAGGGAAGGACAGGGGCCTCAGGTTTCTCACTCCAAGGCTGCTGAAGAATAGCAAGAGGGGCCGGGCGCAGTGGCTCATGCCTGTAAACCCGAGGCAGGCAGATCATAGGGTCAGGAGATCGAGACCATCCTGGCCAACATGGTGAAGTCCCCTCTCTATTAAAAATACAAAATTTAGCCAGATGTGGTGGCGGGTGCCTGTACTCCCAGCTACTCGGGAGGCTGAGGCAGAAGAATCGCTTGAACCCAAGAGGTGGAGGTTGCAGTGAGCCGAGATCATGCCATTGCACTCCAGCCTGGTGAAAGAACAAGACTTTGTCTCAAAAAAGAAAAAAAAAAAAAAAAAGACTAGCAAGAGGGTGTCTTCCTATAAGAGGAGTTGTCAGGTCCCACCCACTGAACTGCAGGGCTCTTGGCACAGAAAAACTCTCTCCTAACCTCAGCACTAAGGGAAGACCAAACTCTAGCTGGCTCCTAACAGCATCAGGACGTGTCCCTTGGATGACTCCAGCACCACCATCCTCTCCCCATTAAAATGTCACCTGAGGCTGGGTGCGGTGGCTCCTGCCTATAATCCCAACACTTTGGGAGGCTCAGGAGGGAGGATCACTTGAGCCCAAGAATTTGAGACCAGCCTGAGCAACATAGCAAGACCCCATCTGTACCTTAAAAAAAAAAATGGCCCTCACACCTGTAATCCCAGCACTTTGGGAGGCTGAGGCAGGCGGATCACCTGAGGTCAGGAGTTAGAGACCAGCTTGCCCAACATGGTGAAACCCTGTCTCTACTAAAAATACAAAAAATTAGACAGGCGTGGTGGTGGTTGCCTGTAATCCCAGCTATTCAGGAGGCTGAGGCAGGAGAATCACTTGAACCTGGGAGGCGGAGGTTGCAGTGAGCCAAGATCGTGCCACTGCACTCCAGCTTGGGTGACAAGAGCGAAACTCTGTCTGAAAAAAAAAAAAAGGCCAGGCATGGTGGCATGCACTTGCAGTCCCAACTACTCAGGAGGCTGAGGTGTGAGGATCACTTGAGCCCAGGAGTTGGAGGCTGCAGTGAGCTATGATTGCACAACTACTCCAGCCTGGGTGAGGGAATGAGACCTTGTCTCTAAAAAAATAAATACATGAATAAATAAATAGATAAATAATGCTGCTTGAGAAAGCTCAACATTACCTGGAGAATTGACTGTTTTTGTTCTAGCCAATGCCTGACAATAGGTCCCTGTATTTGGCCGTTAATTCATAAGAAAAAAGGTTTCATTGGCTCACAGTTCTGCAGACCATACAGGAAGGAGCATGCTGGCATCTGCTTCTAGGGAAGCCTCAGGGAATCTTTTTTTTTTTTTTTTTTTTTTTGAGGTGGAGTCTTGCTCTGTCGCTAGGCTGGAGTGCAGTGGTAGGATCTCGGCTCACTGCAACCTCTGCCCCCAGGTTCAAGCGATTCCCCTGCCTCAGCCTCCCGAGATGCTGGGACTGCAGGCACGTGCCACCACGCCTGGCTAATTTTTTTGTATTTTAGTTGAGACAGGGTTTCACCATGCTGGCCAGGATGGTCTCGATCTCCGGACCTCGTGATCCACCTGCCTCGGCCTCCCAAAGTGCTGGGATTACAGTCATGAGCCAGCTGCCTCAGGGAACTTTAACTCATGGCAGAAGGCGAAGCGGGAGCAGGCATGTCTGTCACATGATGAAAACAGGAGCGAGAGAGTGAGGGGGGAGGGGCCACACAGTTACCCAATCAGATCCCACAAGTACTCACTCCTACTGCGGGAACAGCACCGAGCCACGAGGGACCCACCCCATGACCCAAACGCCTCCCACCAGGCCCCACTTCCAACATTGGGGATCACATTTTAACATGAGATTTGGGAGGCAACAAACACATACCCAAATTATACCAGCCCTGGCCTCTCTTTCTTAGAAAATTAACCTAAGAACAGCTTACGATGATGAATCCCTCCCTGGTCCCTTTGAGATATGTGTGCATCTTCTACAGCGCAGGAGCGGCCTGAAAGTTGTTCCTTTGAAATGGAATCCTCAGGAAGGACAGGGCCTCTGTCTCCCTGTCTCTGGGTGAACTGAATCCCAGCTGAGATCATTGCCAGCTTGCAGACATAGACACAACTGGCGGGATGGCTCCGACCCTGCCCAGCCCTCATCGCTGTTCACTTGAGTGCCTGCTGTCTTCCCAGCTCCCACGTTCTTTCTTTCAAACGTCTGCCCAGCCACCTCTGCAGAAGCTGGAACAGAGCTCAGCTCTTTCCCCTGCTGAACCAAATCTGCCTCCACTTCCACTGCCTGCACTCATGTCGGTTGTGTTTCCCTTTGACACCCACTCTGCCACCTGGACCATTCAGGGTGCTCCCCCTGACTCCTGCCGCCAGCGCCCACACTGGCCTCCTATGACAGGGACACACGCTACTGCCACCGCCGCTGGAGCAGAGCCTGCCCCAAGGCTGCGAGTGCCAAGGAGGTGCAGCCCTCCCCTGCCATGGGGGCAGCCCTACCCCAACGCCCCGATAGCTCTGAGGTTCTACAGATTCTACATGCTTCCTAGAGTTCCTGGGGGGAGTTAAGTTCCAGGGGTAATTTCCGTCATCGTGTACTTTTTTTTTCTTTCTTTCTTTCTTTCTTTTTTTTTTTTTTTTTTTTTTTTTGAGATGGAGTCTCTCTCTGTCTCCCAGGCTAGAGCGCAGTGGCATGATCTCAGCTCACTGCAACCTCTGCCTCCCAAGTTCAAGCGATTCTCCTACCTCAGCCTCCCGAGTAGCTGGGATTGCAGGCGCCCACCACCGCGCCTGGCTAATTTTTGAATTTTTAGTAGAGACAGAGTTTCACCATGTTGGCCAAGCTGGTCACGAACTCTTGACCTCAGGTGATCTGCCCGCCTCGGCCTCCCAAAGTGCTGGGATTACAGGTGTGAGCCGCCCTACCCGGCCAGTTGTGTACATTTGATTGGCTTCCTTCTTTCTCTCTCTTCCCCACTCCCCTCCCTGCATCTCCTCATGAGGGTTCCCAAGTAAACCCTTGCATGGGAATCCTTGTTCCGGGGTCTGCTTTTAGGGAACCCAAACTCTGAGGCTCTTCCCCAGCCATGTGGCTTGGTCCCCAGGGACTGTTCTGGAGGGGCTTTGGTTTTTATTCTCAGCTGGGCAATGTGTAATATGCTTATCTGCCCCCTGCAGGCAAAGCCCGGCCCAGACTCCACCCTAGGGTCTAATTTCTGTCCCTACAGATATCCTTCATCTCCCTTCTCAGCTTTCCTGCGGCTAAACTGAAACGGTTTCTCCTTTGTCCTTTCTTTGTTTCTGATCATTTCTGGGTGGCTGAGGTATGTGGGAAATATACTAAGGCTAAATCACACTTATCCAGCCCCTCTTCCACGCCAGGTACTATGGCAGGCGCTTCATCCCAGGAGCCCCTAGACCCTCACAACCGCCCCATAAGGTAGATTCTCTGACTATCCCCAGTTTACAAATGAGGAAACTGAGGCTCAGAGGAGGCCTCTTGCCCAGGGTCTCACAGCTGTTTGGCAGCTGAGCTGGCATCCAGAGCTGAGTCCTGGTTCTGGCCACCCTGCATTGAATTAGCCAGGGCAGCAAGGTCACTGAGAGGGTGCCCCAAAGGAAGCCGAAACACCTGAGCTCAATTCTGTGTCTTCCTCTCACATGCTTTGGGACCTTGACAGTTCACTTTATTGTCCATGCAGGCCTCAGTTTCCCCATTTGTTAAACAGGGAGGTGCAGATAGGGGTCTCTAAAGACCTCCCAGCCTTTTTCCTCTTGTTCTTCCTCAGGGAGGGAGCACAGTGTTATAAAGACTTCAAGTCTACAGTCCAAGAAGCCCTGCTTGGACTGTGGACCTCAAGTCAGCCTGTAATTATCTCGGGTTAATTTATTTGAAGAAGTTGCCTGGCTTTTCCCCAAATCCTACCAAATGCATCTGCAGCTTTTCCTTCTCCTTCACCCAGCTTTAAAATATCTCTCCCGCTTCATAATTAGGAAGAATTTAATGACTAGCAGCAAATATGAAAATCTCCATGTAAACTGCCTCCTCTGGACTTTTGTTTGTTTGTTTGTTTGTTTGAGACTGAGTCTTGCTCTATCACCCAAGCTGGAGTGCAGTGGTGTGATCTCGGCTCCCTGCAACCTCCGCCTCCTGGGTTCAAGTGATTCTCGTGCCTCAGCCTCTCAAGTAGCTGGGATTACAGGCACCCGCCACCACACCCAGCTAATTTTTGTATTTTTAGTAGAGTCGGGGTTTCATTATATTGGCCAGGCTGGTCTCAAACTCCTGACCTCAAGTGATCCGTCCCCCTCGGCCTCCCAAAGTGCTAGAATTACAGGCGTAAGCCACCGCACCCGGCCTCTCCTCTGGACTTTTTACATACGTATTCTAGACCTCAACCTTGCCCACCATAGTTTGTACTTCCCCTGAGCAACGTGACCTAGGTGAGGTTAAAGTTGAGGACCTCCAAGTTAAACCACCTGGATTCAAACTCCAGCTCCAACACACTAGCTGTGTGACCTTGGGGGAGTCACTAGAATTTTCTGTGCCTCAATTTCTGGATCTATGAGGCAATGAGGACAATAAAGGTACCTACCTAGCAGGGGTGTTGTGGTGACTAGGTGAGTTCATGTGTATACAGTGCTTTCTCAGTGCTAGCTATTATTCTTAATGGGGTCACCCTGTGGTTCAAGTCCCTTAAGTCTGAGAAAATGTGGTCTCTCCTTGGTGAATCAACTTATCTGTGTTGGACATTGCAAGAAGGTTGGGGAGTAAGGTAAATAGACCTAACTAAATCTTATATGAAGTCCAGGAACAGTGGCTTACATTTGTAATCCAGCACTTTGGGAGGCTGAGATGGGTGGATCACTTGAGGTCAGGAGTTCGAGACCAGCCTGGCCAACGTGGTAAAAACCCCATCTCTACTAAAAATACAAAAACTAGCCAGATGTAGTGATGCACACCTATAGTCCCAGCTACTCAGGAGGCTGAGGCACAAGAATTACTTAAACCCGGGAGGTTGCAGTGAGCTGAGATCTTACCACTGCACTCCAGCCTGGGTGACGGAGTGAGACTTTGTCTCAACAACAACAACAAAAATATTTAAAAAATTAAATAAATAAATATTATATAAAACAAAATCTAGGGAAAATCCCTTAGGGGGGTCACAGGTCAAGATGACTGGAAGAAACCTATAATCACCCAGAATTGATTGCACAAAAGAATGGGCTTGCTTGTTTAGGGACAGCCAGAGAGGATGTGCTGTGGGAACCATTTGGGGAGCAAATGAGCAGCTGAACTATTTATTTCTGACCTCCAAAGGGCCCACAGTGACCAATTCCCTTCCCTCTGGAGACTTGGAATGTTTTACCCTAGGAAGTCTGCATGGGACCCTGACCTGCTCCAAAGCTCTAGTAACGCTGACCCCAAATCACCTGGGGCCAGGAGCAATGCTCCCCAGCTTCTAAATTCCCACCCTGGAAGCCCCAGGCAGTTGACTTCCATCCCCCAGGCTGCACCCTCTCTCTCCTGACCCTTCACCACCTTGTATTAATTTCATCTTTGTCTCATATTATCATCTCTCTGAGCCAAGGACTACTCATCTCTGTCTCCCACATGGTGCCAAACACTCAGCGTATAGTAGGTGCTCAGTAAATACTGGTCTGCTGGGGCCAGACACGGTAGCTCACACCTGTAATCCCAGCACTTTGGCATGCCAAGTTAGGCGGATTGCCTGAGCTCAGGAGTTCGAGACTAGCCTGGGCAACATGGTGAAAACCCATCTCTCCTAAAAATACAAAAACTAGCCAGGCATGGTGGCATGCACCTGTAATCCTAGCTACTCAGGAGGCTGAGGCAGGAGAATCGCTTGAACACAGGAGCCAGAGTTTGCAGTGAGCCGAGATTGCACCACTGCACTCCAGCCTGGGTGACAGAGTGAGACTCTGTCTCAAAAAAAAAAAAAAAAAAAAAAAAAAAAAAATATATATATATATATATATATACTGGCCCCTTGAAAAGGGATTTGGATAGGAGGGGCCCAAGCCTGGCTCCTGCCACTGCCCTGGACAGGTCACCTAACCCCTTTTGCTTGTCGTAAACCAGGGAAGCCAGCAGCACAGGGAGGCTAAGATGCCCTCACTCAGACTGATTCATGCAATGCCAGCAATGAAAGAAACTCAACCCCTTGTCCTGAGAGTAGGCTTACTCCCTTCTCTGATTATCTGCTTCCCAAGTGCGATGCGTGCAGTGTGGGCCAGAGGAAGGAAGTGGCCAGGCCTTTGGCAGGCACATTTCTCCATGAGCATTGGTAATGGGCATCTGGATTAACACATCAGTCCATCTAACCACCCCCCAAAACAGGACTCCTCTTCCTCGGCTGACCTCCCAGGCTTCTGAACCTGCAATTTTAATAAAATCATTGTCATAATCACAGCCGTTGTAACTGATGTTCATAGTTTTCTCTGTCTGTGCCAGGCGAAGTGAGGAACAGCGAAAACTATGTATAATAATATGGAGTGACGCAATCAATTTTAGCGTGTTCAAAGTTCTGAGAAGTCTTGCCCAAAAGCAATCTGTATAGTGTTATGTAAACCAGCATAACCTGATTTATTTGACAATGGGATAATTTTTCATAGAACATCTGTTAACATGCCACAGAGTTCTTTTAAACATATTTAGGAAACAGGGCCTTGAGGAAGGAAAAGCATAAGTGTTTATTGCGTGTCTATAACTGGCTCTGTGCCAGATACATGGCATGCATTTTCTCAGGTAATCTTCACAATAGCCTCTGAAAGAGGTGGAACTGTCCCTCTGTTAGTACTCTAGAAATGAGAACTGGCTCTGACAAGCGAGGTGGTCTTCCCAAGAACACGAGCCTAGCTAGAGTCTCTTGTTGCCTTTCTACAGCAAACCTGCATTTGAATTTTCCTCTGCTGTGGCTCCTTCTAGTTCCTGTTTATTACAGAGTCCATGATTCTGGGAGGGAGAATGGGAAAAAGATCAGCCTACCACTCTGACATCATTGAGAGTTTGGATTTGCAAAGCAGGCAACATAAACTCCTCTCTTGCAATTTAAGCATAAATGTGTTCAATGTGGCCTCAGTTTCCTCATCTATAACATAGAACTGGAGTGGGAGTAGGAAAGCACGGTTAGAAAGATGTAACTAAATGGTCTCTCTGTCCCTCCACAGCATGTACATTGTGGGCTTATGATTCCGAATCTCTGGGCCTGCAATTTGGACATACTGCCACCAGGGGGCGATCTGGACTGGGATTATAGCCATGGCAGGCTCATCTACTGTATCCTGGGTTAAAGCAACCTAAATTGATTTTATTGGTGTTCCCTTGAGTGGTACACGGATATTACAGAAATTATGAAGATGGTTTTGAGTCACAATGGGCAAATGAGGCCCTGCATGAATTGAAGTGTGACCAATTTTTTTCACTATATGAATTAATGCTTACGTACTACCTGGCCCCTGTGCCTCCTTGAAAGTTAAGAATCATTGTGAATTCCGCTATCTAGGGACCTCAGGAACATGAAGAACAAGGAATGCTATTGGGAACCACGCCAGTGAAATAAAAGACCTTCTTTAAGTTAAAAAAAATCTACGCATATTTTATTTACTTTGCCAAGATTACAGCTTTTCTCTCTCTAGAACATTCAATGTTTAATTAAAAAGGGTTCCTCTTTCTGAGGATGAATCTTTAACTGAGACAAAGTCATAAAACATGAGACATTTGTTCCCTTATGTCAACATTGAAATTGCTCACTTAACTTTAGATCAGCTCACCAACACTGTGTTTCTCAGACACTCTTGCTAGCATCTTAGTTATCTCATCAGAAAGCATTTTGGCAGCTCTGTCTTGTAAAGCTGCTTCTGAAAAGCACTAAATTAAATGTAATGTGAAGTTGGATTTCTGTGGCATCCTTCCCATTCACCTTCCATACTCATACCCATAAGCAATGGACTGGTTTTGTGTGTCCCTTTTGAAGGCTACATCAACAGTACATTTCCTGCTGTAGGGGTCGTTCTGCAGATTGTCATTTTCACCCGCAATGATGTATTGTGAGATCTTCCTATGCTGATACATGCAGATGTGGTTCATTTCTTTCCACTGCCATAGATCATCCCATTTGTCCATTGTCCAGCTAAAGTGCATTTAGGTTGTTTTACTTTTTTTTTTTTTTTTTTGAGATGGTGTCTCACTCAGTTGCCCAGGCTGGAGTCCAGTGGCACGATCTTGGCTCACTGCAACCTCCGCCTCCTGGGTTCAAGTGATTCTCCTGCCTCAGCCTCCAAGTAGCTGGGACTACAGGCACCTGCCACCATGTCTGGCTAATTTTTTTGAATTTTTAGTAGAGACACGGTTTCACCACATTGGCCAGGCTATTCTCAAACCACTGACCACAAACGATGTGCCCACCTCAGCTTCCCAAAGTGCTGGGATTACAAGCATGAGCCACTGCACCCAGCTGAGAACAAGAACTTTTAATACTTGCCAGGTTGTTTTCCTATTGTAAACTATGCTGCAATGGAGATCTTTGCACGCACTCCCTATATACATGTTCAAGGGTTTGTCTAGGCTGTGTAGAAATGGAAATTGTAGGTTGTATGATATAATTTCAATTTTGCTAAATACTCACCCACGGCTCTTGGCTCATAATTCATCAAGGGTACGAAAGTTTCCATTTCCCTCATTCTCATCTACACTTGCGTTTTAATTCTTGCCAACCTGATGGATTGTTTTCATTTGCATCTCTGATTATTGGGGATAATGAGCATCTTTTCAACTCTTCCGTGTGGCTTCTTTAGTCATTAACTCTTTATGTTCCAGCCAGACTGTAAATTCCTAGAAGGAAGGTCTGAGTCTCAAATGTAAGGCCCTCACAGAGGACAGCCCGGTCCAGGCATAGACTCTCTGTTTCCTACCTCACCTCTGTGTTCCTCCTTGGAGCCCTACCTTCCAAGCTTAACAAGCTACCTGCAGCTTGCCAAATACATCATGCTGCAGTTTCATGCATACCATGCCCTCTGTCTGGAATGCTGTGCCTCTTCCAGTCCACCTGAACATCCTTATTCATGTTCCATGATTCATCTCAAGAGCCACCTCCTCTATGAAGCCTACCATATGACCGGCACCCTACCCCATCCCAGGCAGAGCTAACCACGTTCTCCTTTGTGCTTTTGCTGGCCCCACGTGAACGTCTCACCGCATGTGTAAGACTTCTGAGCATCTATGTACTGATGTATTTGTCTTCTCGCCAGACTCTGAACTCTTTGAGGACAGGCGCCATGTCTTATTTATTTTTGCACGTCCAGCTCATTGGTCAGGGCTGGGCAGGGGCATATCATGGGTAGATAAGTCTCTAAGGCAGCTTCTTCCACATCAATCTCCTGCAGACTGCAAAGCTCTGAGGTCTGGACTGTATTGCATATTGCATATGCATATTGCATATTGTATTGCATTCATATTGCTGTTTTCACCGTGCCTAATAGGGCTGAGTGTTTGTGGTGCTCCGTCAACAGGCACCACAAACACTCAGCCCTGTTAGGCACTGCACTGTCATACTACGTACACTGCAGTACGATTGCCTGGTAGAGTAGAAGTGACTTTGGATAGAAATTCCTGGGTTTGCACCCCCAGCTTCCTATGCATATAATCTTGTACAATTTCCTTGGCCTCTCCAAGCCTCAGTTTCCTCATCTTCATAAAGGGAGTGATAACAGCTCTGAGGACTGGTGTAAGGATGAAATACAGTTCCGTATATAAACCATGTGGCACATAATCATTTGCCACGTTATCATTTCTATGTCAGAACAGCACAGAGTCTGCTTTAGCCACAAGACTTTGGGTGGCTCATTTTTTCAGGTGTCACATGTGATGGGCACATAGTAGTTGATGAAGACAAAGTCTAGTGTTTCCAGTGCCCAGAACAGTGTCTTGCAGAAACTAGGTACCCAGTAAAGAAGTTGAACTGAACTCTGCACTTTGCACATAATTAGATATTTGATGAATATTAAATCAAGTCAGATTCACTTCCCTGTATTGCATTCTGATCCAACCCTACCTTTAAGTCATTCCTGGACGGGCGTGGTGGCTCACGCCTATAATCCCAGCACTTTGGGAGGCTGAGGCGGGTGGATCACTTGAGCTCAGGAGTTCAAGACCAGCCTGGCCAACATGGTGAAACCTCATCTCTACTAAAAATACAAAAATTAGCTGGTCATGGTGGTGCACTCCTGTAATCCCAGCTACTCGGGAGGCTGAGGCAGGAGAATAGCTTGAACCCAGAAGGCGGAGGTTACAGTGAGCCAAGATCACACCACTGCACTCCAGCCTGGACAACAGAGCCAGATTCCATCTCAAAAAAAAAAAAAAAAGAAAAGACAAAGAAAAAAAAGTAAGTAAGTCATTCCCTTTTGTGGGAGGAGGGGCAGTTGAGGGAGAAGTAGGAACATGTCTCCTCTTCTCCCAGTAGTGATTTTGATTCTTCCTCTCGCTTTTGATCTTTCAAAAGCAAGATGACCACCAGGACAAACTATTATTTTGAGGTCGCCAATGAACCATTCCTGCATACAGTAATACTCTTATGTAGTCCCCTCTCACAAAGTCTGGGCTTGGCCATATGTCTCTTTGGCCACAGGGACATTGACAAGCCAGTGCAAGGCTTGATAAACCATTGCACATTGAATCTTGTCCCCTGAGACGGCTCCTTCTTGAAACCTAGTCCCCATTCCAAAAGAAGCTCAAGTGAGCCACGAAGAGAGGTCCCATGAGAGAGAGTGATGATCAGCCAGCCCCCCACTGTGGTTCTCATCCCAGCTGAGGCACTAGGCATGGGAGAGGAGCAGGCGTCTTCACAGCAGATGCTATACAGAACAGAAATGAGCCGTACCTCCTGAGCCCTGCCTAAATTGCTCAATCATGAGCAAATTAAGGATCATGTCATTTTAAGCCCACAAGTTTTGGTGGTGTTTTGGAACACAGCAAATAATAAATAACCCATGGGTAGAGCACGGTCTGAGGGTGCAAGTCAGTGATCTCGGGGTGGAGTGTGCTGCGGGCTTAGAGACTCATCAGGTGAAAAGCTTCAGGATCAACTGGAAAACAGAACCGTCTGACCTAGAACCCATTATCTGGGGACTCTTCCCTGGGGCTCCAAGCCCCTATGGTCTGAGGATGCTTTTGGCTCCTTAAACAATGAGGAGACCTCAGGCTCACATTACAGGAAGTCCAGAGGCCGGCAGCTTCTGGCCAAGTTGATGGAGCAGCTCTGCGAGGCCATGGAGGACCCAGAATGTGCTGCATGGTCTGCAATTCCTCTGGTCATAGGTGTCTGGCAGGAGTGGTCTGGGCTGCATGGTTCCTCATTCATTACATCAGGAAAGATGGATGCTCTCTCAGCATTCCCAGCTGAGAAAAGAATTTCCCAGAAGGCTGCACGCATCCACACGTTTCCTTGCATCTTATTGGCCCAAATTGAGTCATATGTGCATGACTGAACCAATCACGTGCAAGAGGTGGGGTTGGGGTAGGGGTAAAGAATCACCATGAGACCAATCAAACCCGCCACTAGATTGGAGGAAATGTGTGTGGCCAACTCCTCTGAAGTCCGTGTCTCGTGGGGGAGGAATGGATGTCTGGGAATAATTGGCATCTTCTAGGAAGAGCATGTAGGGTAAGATCCAGCAGTGTCCACTATAGGACCCCCTCACATAGGGCATGTGGGAGAAGCCAGGCACCCTGGGCTTGAGACAGAGTCATGCCCAGCTCTCATGTCCTTTCCTGGGATAATGGATGAAGGTACGTGTGTGTGCATGTGTGTGCAGGAGGGAGGACTAGGGAATAGTTTGGGACCCCAGGGCTTCTATCTTCCCCCAGTTGGTCTCTCCAACACCACATATCGGCCTCTACTCCAGTGTGAAGAAAGGCACCAAGCACAGGAGGACTCGGACCTGAGCCTTTCCTTATTGTTAGCACTTTATTTGAGTAGAAGACACCTCTACTGTGTCAAAACTAGTACTTGGAGCTCTTGGATTTGCTGTTTTCTCCATATTTCTCTTCCAGTGCTTTCTGCAAGTTCAGGTTCATAGCATTTTTCTGGTGCCACCGCCCTACAGCGAGCAGGAGAAGAGCCAGCACAGATTAGATCATCTGGCAGTCTCTGGAGTTGCCCAGACCCCAGGGATGACTCGTACCTCTTCCAAGTCCACCCCGGCTCTGTCTCCTGCTCTGGTTTCTCTCTGACCCTTAGAGCCAACACACCCTGCTGGTGGAGGACAGTCCCTGCCTCCCATCACCCGCAGCTCCTCACTTACCCAGATCATCCGTCTTCCTGCCATGCCAGTGTTCTAAGTCCCTCACTGATTTCTCAATGACCTCTGGTGTGTAAGAAGCCTTCATGAGGCTCTTTGTCTCCTCAGCAGCCCCTGTAGAATACCATGAAGAAACCCCAAGTGCCCAATTCAGTGGCAGTCGGGTACTCCATGGCTTATATTGGGTGTCAGTTTCCTCTACGGATGGTAAATTGTGGAACGGAAGGAGAGTGGGAAGGGTTTCAAAGTAAAGTCGTTTGGGTTCAAACCCAGACTCCATTATTTATGGGTAGTATAGCCTCAGAGAAATTTTTAACCTCTCTGAGCTTCAGTGTCTTCAACTATACCAAGAAATGAGATTTTTTTGCATGGTTGGAAAGACAAAATTATTGGACATTCATCAAGACATCTAGCAAGTGGCAACTAATACCTGTAACTTAGGAAAACTTATCTCTGTTTTCAAAATTCAAACATGCACAAGCAGATACGTTGCAATGATCAAGAGTCAGCAGAAACACCAAAGGACAAAATCTCCCAAATTAGCAAAGATTTGAATGATCAGATACAGAATACAAAATAAGTATATTTAGGCCGGGGGCAGTGGCTCACGCCTGTAATCCCAGCACTTTGGGAGGCCAAGGCGGGTGGATCACGAGGTCAGGGGTTCGAGACCAGCCTGACCAACATGGTGAAACCCCGTCTCTACTAAAAATACAAAAATTAGCTGGGCGTGGTGGCGGGCTCCTGTAATCCCAGCTACTCAGGAGGCTGAGGTAGGAGAATTGCTTGAACCCGGGAGGCGGAGGTTGCAGTGAGCCGAGATCGTGCCACTGCAGTCCAGCCTGGGCAACAGAGAGAGACTCTGTCTCAAACAAACAAACAAACAAACAAAAAACCTATATTTAATGATTGAAACCATAAGAGAGAATAAAAATATAAGCAAAGAGTAAGAAACCATCCAGAAAGAGCAGATAGATTAGTAAGAGAAGCAAACGGAATTTCAGAAATGAAACACATAATAATTGAAAAAAAATTAAACTCCATGGCAATAAGATGCCTGGGACTTGCTTTGAAATAATCTTGGGTGGGAGTGGATGGGTGGGAGAAAAGATGAGACAAGATCGGCTATGTATTAATCATTGTTGAGGCTGAGTGGTATATGCAACATCTATTTATAAACTAAGTTCTCTTCTTTTCCATAAGCTTGAAAATTGCCATCATAAAAGTTTAAAAAGAAATTCAATTAACAGATAAAATAGCAGATCAAATAAAGCTGAGAGAAAATGGTAAACTGGAAGATATACCTAAAGAAATTAATATTAGGATGCAATACAAAGAAATAAAAAGATGTGGGCTGGGCGCGGTGGCTCACGCCTGTAATCCCAGCACTTTGGGAGGCCGAGAATATATATATAAATTCTATATATACATATATCTAAATCCTATATATAATACATATATAAATTCTATAAAATAATAACATGTAAGCTGAGGTGGAGGTCGGGAGAGTAATTAAAGTTAATTAAAGTTTTTTTTTTCTTTTTTTTTTTTTTGAGACGGAGTCTCGCTCTGTCTCCAGGCTGGAGTGCTGTGGCTCAATCTTGGCTCACTGCAACCTCCATCTCCCAGGTTCAATCTACTCTCCTGCCTCAGCCTCCTGAGTAGCTGGGATTACAGGCATGCGCCACCACACCCAGCTAATTTTTGTATTTTTAGTAGAGACGGGGTTTCACCATGTTAGCCAGGATGGTCTGGATCTCTTGACCTTGTGATCCGCCCATCTCGGCCTCCCAAAGTGCTGGGGTTACAGGTGTGAGCCACGGCGCCCAGCCAAAGTTAAAGCCTTCTAAGGCCCTTAGTGTTCAGGAAAACACAAATGCCTAGATTAACTTTATAATTTGTTAATTACGCATATAAAAATGTCAAAGGTAACCACTCAAAGAATAAGAGGAGTAGAAAAGAACAAATATCAGATTGAGAAAAATAAGAAAGCTGATGTAAATCCAAAAAGAGAGAGAAAAAGAAGCCACAAAGAAAAAGCAGCACACCATCCTGGCTAACACGGTGAAACCCCGTCTCTACTAAAAATACAAAAAAAAAAATTAGCCGGGCGTTGTGGCAGGCGCCTGTAGTCTCAGCTACTTGGGAGGCTGAGGCAGGAGAATGGCGTGAACCCAGGAGGCGGAGCTTGCAGTGAGCTGAGAGCGCGCCACTGCACTCCAGCCTGGGCAACAGAGTGAGACTCCATCTCAAAAAAAAAGAAAAGAAAAGAAAAGAAAAAGCAGCACAAATAGAAAACGAAAAATAAGATCATGGAAATAAACCCAAATAGTCTATATCAGTAACGAGAATCAATATGAACGAATTAAACCCATTCGTTAAAAACCAGATGATGACACTACAGAAAATGTTTTCCAGGTATGTATCATTGAAGGCATATTTAAAAGGACACAAAGAGAGGATAAACATGGAAGAACAGAAAAAGATATACCCAGGCAAACACTAACCAAAAGCAGTCTGGTCTAACTATATCAGGTGAAATAGACTGTAGGGCAACGGCACGATGAAAAACAAAAACAATTGCAATTCATTAAGGTAATGTAATGATTCTGAACTTGCTACATTGAAATAATCTCAAAATAGATAAGGCAAAATTGACAGAACCACAGGACAAATGGACAAAGCTGCTATTATAGAGGGAGATTTAAAGACACATATTTTAGTAACTAATAGATCAAGCAAAGCATATTAATAAGGATTAGAAGATTTGTGCAGAAATTATTAACAAGCCTGTTCTATAGACAAATGCAGAATCCCTTACCCAAGAGATTGTTATTATTATTATTATTATCATTATTTTGAGAGGGAGTCTTGCTCTGTCACCAGGCTGGAGTGCAGTGGCGCGATCTCCGCTCACTATAACCTCCGCCTACCTCCGCCTCCCGGGTTCAAGCGATTCTTCTGCCTCAGCCTCCTGAGAAGCCATTACAGGCGTGCGCCATCACGCCTAGCTAATTTTTGTATTTTTAGTAGAGACATGCGCCATCATGCCAGCTAATTTTTGTATTTTTAGTAGATATAGGGTTTCACCATATTGGCCAGGATGATCTCGATCTCTTGACCTTGTGATCTGCCTGGCTCCGCCTCCTGAGATTTTTTTTTTTTTTTTTTTGAGATGGAGTCTTGCTCTGTCACCAGGCTGGTGTGCAGTGGCGCAATCTCGGCTCACTGCAAGCTCCGCTTCCCGGGTTCACGCCATTCTCCTGCCTCAGCCTCCCGAGTAGCTGGGACTACAGGCGCCCGCCACCGCGCCCGGCTAATTTTTTGTATTTTTAGTAGAGACGGGGTTTCACCTTGTTAGCCAGGATGGTCTCGATCTCCTGACCTCATGATCCACCCGCCTCGGCCTCCCAAAGTGCTGGGATTACAGGCGTGAGCCACTGCGCCCGGCCTGGAGAGATTATTCTTAAGCACACACAGATCATCTACAAAAATCACCATCTACTGGGCTCTAAAGCAAATCTGAACAATTTCAAAGGATTGAAATCATTACAGGGCTGTGTTCTCCAATGACAGTCACATCAAGCTGGGAGATGGAATCCACCCCAAAGACAAGAGAGCAAACCAAGAAAGAGGAAGACACCAAATAGAGGAAATCAGAATTCCAACAATGGAAAGAAGTGAAAAAAAGAAAATCCTTGGTAAGCTGGTTCAGGGATCCCTGGATACCTGGACACAGAGGGAAAAGGACAGGACGTAAGCTACCATTCTGCCTGCTCTGTGACTCAAAGACACAATGTCCAGGTGAGCCCAGCCAAGGTTTTGATTTGTATGTGGCTTGTCCTTACCATGGGCTGACCCTCTACTCTCCCCTCCCAGCCCTGCTGCATGGAGCAGATGAGGACCTTCATGTTAGCCCACAGGGGTGTTCTGCTCTGACCTCCTTCTGAAGCTGGAGCCACGGTGAGTTGGGAGGCAGAAAATACACAAAGGGCCACTCACCGTGGCCATATTCCTGCAGGCCATCCCACATGGTTCCCCCGCAGCCCTGTCTGTGGGAAGCCTATACACCCAGGACTCACGGCCATGCCAATACTCTCCCCACATGAAGTTCACCAAACTCTCAGGACACCCAAAGCCAGACTAAGACCCAGAGCCAGCTCCATTTTCCCCCATGCTGTTTCCATGGTAGTGAATAAATTTCATGAGATCTGATGGCTTTATAAGGGGAAACTTCTTTCACTTGGTTCCCATTCTCTCTTGTCGGCCACCGTGTAAGACGTGCCTTTCACCTTCCACCATGATGTGAGGCCTCCCCAGCTACATGGAACTGTGAGTCTATTAAACCTCTTTTTCTTTATAAATTACCCAGTCTCAGGTATGTTTTTATCAGCAGTATGAAAACAGACTATATTATATTTAATGATGTAATGTTAGAATCAAGAAGGAGATAAGGATGCCTGTTTTTCCTGCTTATAGACACCATTGTCCTAGAGAGGTCAGCCAGATGCTGATATAAAGGTAAGAAAAGCCTAGTGTTTAGGAATTTAAACTCTAGCCTCTGACTGGCAGGGTTTAAATCCCAATTCTGACCGTCCCTATCTGTGTGGCCTTAATTAAGTTATTTAACTTTTCCATGACTCAATTATTTTTTATCTGGAAAAAAAAATGGGAATTGTAGCATTTACCACATGGGATTCATGTGCAGAATAAAATATATATATAAAGTACTCAGAGCAGTACCTGGCATATGTTAAATACTATGCATAAATGTAGCCATTATTACTATTCAAAAGCACTCCTAAAGAATCAATAACTAATTACTGGAATTAATTGGTGAGCTGCATAAAGCTTCTGGATACGAGATTAATATACAAAAACAAAAATTGCATTTGTGTATACGGTATCAGCAGCAAAGTTAGAAAATATAATTTTAAAAAGATATCATTTTCAACAGCAGCAAAAAAAGAGATTCTCCTGAGTAAGTCTAACAAAAAAACCTGCATGATGTTTATAGAAAAAAAAAAATCACAAAATGTTACTGAGAGATATCGAAGGAAGACTTAAATTAATGGAGGTATATACCATATTCATATATTAGAAAATTCATTATAAAGCTGACAACAGCCCTTAAATTGAGCTGTAGATTCAATGTATTTCCAATCAAAATCCCAACAGGGTTTTTCATGGAAATTTCTGTTTATTAATAACATTTGTATGGGAGAGTAAAGGGCCTAGAAACCCAAGACATTAACTGGTGATGGTGGTGGAGGGGTGGTAGTGGGAGTATTGCCTGACCAGATATCAGGCTACTTATAATACTTTGGTGATTAAAAATGTAATATTAGACCAATGGACAGAATAGAGCCTGAAACTGATCTATGCATGTGTCAAAACCTGATGGATAACAGAAGTACCACTGCAGGTCACCGGGAGGAAAGATGAGCCTATTCAATAAAAGGTACTGAGGCAGTCAGTAACCCACATAAAGAAGGAATTGAAAATGAATCCCTACTGGGGAAAGATTTCTGGTGTTGTTGTTCCATTATTTTGAGGGCTGGGCACACAGATGCCCAAGGAATGCCTGAGCTCGTCATCTCACTCTTTATACAGCTGGGCAAGCTGCCTAAAGTTTCCTCAAGCCTCAGTTTTACTACTTTCTTAAATGGCTAAAACTCACAAAAGCCATCTACAGTTTTTGAAAATGAATCCCTACTTCATACTAAAAACAAAAATCAACCCCAGGTGGATTAAAGAGTTAAATGTGAAAAGCAAAACTAAAAATTTTAGAAGACTGTGTAAAAGATGATCTACGATTTAGCATAGGATAGGAGTCCCTCAACCTGCTCCCCCTGGCAGCTTCTCTAATTCAGTAAATAGCCATCTCATCCTTCCAGTTGTTCAGGTCAAAACGTTGAAGTCAACGTTAATTCCTCTCTCACCCCAAAATCTATTCATTAGCATATTCTTTTCTCTCTGCCTTATACAAATATCCAGAATCCTACTACATCAGGCCACCTTCACCATTACCTCCCTGAGCTGCTATATTGCACAATGGTGCCTTCCAAAATAGCGCAGGTGCACTAGCCCAGCTTCCAACACCAAGCCACCATCATCTGTCCCATCTGGAGTTTTGCAGCTGCCTCCTACCAGTTTCCCTGTTTCTGCCCCATCTCCCTATGTCCATTCTCCCCATAGCAACTGGAGTGAGCCCTTAACCTGAGCCAAACAGGGCCATTCTCCTGCTTAAAATCCCGGCTTGGTTTCTCATCTCACTCCGAGTAAAGACCTTCCAGCAGGCTTCACGACCCAGCCTGTTTCCTCTGATGTCTTCTGCCTCACTCCTGTGCAGCCATACCAGCCTCACCAACCTCAAACAGCAAGTATAAAGGCTAACCCTGGGTGGGTGGAAACAGAGAGGGACAGATGGATGGGCACACTGACAGCACTGTGTGGCAGGGTGAAGCCCTGATTCATAGTGTTTGCCAATTTCCAGAGTGTAAATACTACTAGCATGGCCAATTTTAAGACAGCATTTATGTGCCAGTCAGTTCAGAGAGACAATTGCCTCTTGTGAGCTGGTGCAATTTGCTATGAGCTCCAGCACACCCTTGGCACAGTTCTACTTCCCAGGTGGGATGATGGGACATGGACATTTTTAAAAATAGATTATTTTACATTTATGTAGACATTATCATACAAAGTTGTATGGAATAGCTATTTGGTGACCGATAGTTGTTAAAGAGAGAACTGGAAGGCAGGATCTGGAAGGCCCGGAACAGAGAACAAGCAGAACTGTATTCTCGCTTTCCTCCCTGACACCATCCCTTCTCCAAGCTCAGAGAAAACTCCAGAAAGGCTTCCAGTGGGCACCTGGTTCCTCAGGTGACAGGGATCCGAGCCAGGTGGAAGAGGTTTGTCAGGCCCTGGGAGCACTGGAGAGGGCCTGGAGTGAGGAGAGAGGAAGGAGCCATACCAGAAACAGCCTCATTTTGCAATGAGGCCAAACCAGAATGTGGGGCAGAGAGAAGCCCCTGCGTGCTGTGACAGGCATCTGAGCCATCCAGAAGACCCTGGGAACAGGATCATAGCTAGGGAGGTGACTTAGTGGTCAAGAAAAGACTATGAGGCTTTGAAGGCAGAAGGAACACCTGACTTTGAGTCCTAGGCACAATGCAGACTACTGAGAGTTCTAAGGCAAATGATCTGAAATCTGCCCGTGAAATGGAGCTAATAGCACTCTCCCCACCCCAACCAAACAGGACTACACTGATCCAATGGAAACCCTGTGTAAATGTCAGAGCCTCCAACCCACCCTTCCTTTCTTCCCAGGTGGCGCCACCTCCAGGCTCTGGAGAAGAAAAATGATAGCCTGACAGCTACTGAGTGCTCACGACTTGCCTCGGCCAAGCACCTTCATGTGGCACTTCATAAAGTCCTGCCAATGACCCAGCAAGGGCCATACTCTCATTATCATCCCCACTGTACCGAGAAGGCAGCGGAGGCTTGCAGAGGTTGAGGATCCCACCTAAGGTCATACCCAGCTAGTGAGTGGCTGAGCTGAGCTTTGAACCAAAGAAACTTGATATTGTCACTGTGACCAAAGGTGCCTGGGATGGGGCTAGGGGTGTGGGGAGCAGCAGTCCCAGTTCTACTGGGTCCTGGGCCTCCTACTGGCAGATTAAGAACAAGAGGTGGGGAGGGCGCAGTGACTCATGCCTGTAATCCCAGCACTTTGAGAGGCCAAGGTGGGTGAATCACTTGAGCCCAGGAGTTTGAGACCAGCCTGGGCAATATGGTGAAACCTTGCCTCTAGCAAAAATACAAAAAAAAAAAAACAGAAAAGAAAAAAATTAGCCAGGTATGGTGGCGCGCATCTGTGGTCCCAGCTACTTATGGGGGCAGGGGGGTAGCTGAGGTGGGAGGGTTGCTTTCTTGAGCCTGTGAGGTGGTGATTTCAGTGAGCCAAGATTGTGCCACTGCACCCCAGCCTGGGCAACAGAGTGAGACTTCAAAAAACAAAAGAAGGGAAGGAAAGGGAAGGGGAGGGGAGGGGAGGGGAGGGGAGGGGAGAGAAGGGGAGGGGAGGGGGGAGGGGAGGGGAGGGGGGGATGGGAGGGGAGGGACCAGAGGTGCCTGACTGCCAACTGGGATGAATCATCCACACATCAAGGACAGGGGACTGGATGTTCCCAGCACTCGCAAGCTGACATAGAGGACACATGGGCATGAAATAAGTGTCCTTGAAGATGTGCCCTGGGGTCCTAGACCCCATATGGAGTGGAAACCCCAAAGGCCTTCCCTGCCCAATGCCTGGGAGACCATGGGTGTTCACGGCCCCACCCTTGCCCTTTGACTTGACCTCGAAACAAGTTTGACCGCATGTTGTAGCCGAGGTCATAGTAGTCTGAGAAGACGGAGGAGATTTCCACAGGATTCTGGGTCCTGCTGGGCCATGAGCTTGCCCTTTTCTGGCCCTCGAAGACTTCATCAATAGCCTTTTGAGCCTGAGCAGGGAGGCAGGGATGACAGACAGGGGATGGAAAAGCAGTTTCAAGCCCCATATCTCCCTCCAACTCCTCCTCCCTTGACCCTGCCCTCCCCACCCCGATCCCACCTGTAGCCTGCAGCCCTCAACCTATTCACAGGGCTGGGGAGCTGGGGTATACAAAGGCCCCAGCCCCAACTCCTCTCATCATCTGCACTGCTGTGGGTGGGGGGCATCAAGTTAATGATCATAAAACCTCTTCCAAGCATTGAGCATCTGCTACCTGCAACATTGGGACGGGGGGTCTCTATAGGGTGCCACTCTTCCCACCATTTTATAAATGAGGAAAGCGGGCCTCAGGAGACCAAAGATCACCCAGTTCACATGGCTGGCAGGGCACAGAGCCCTGGCTTGCCTCCTACAACTGAGGCACCACACAGGGCAGCTCTGGGTGGGTGCTTAACTTTCAATGAGGCCAACTCCCTCTTCATACCAATAGGGAAACTGACACACAGAGAAGCTGAGCCCAGGTCCAGGGGCAGGACACCTAGGTTTGAGTTCCAGTTCTGCAATATATCAGCTGTTGACTTCAGCAAGCCTCTTCTCCACTCTAGGCCTCAGTTTCCCTACATGTAAAATGTGAAGGCAGGGTGGAACTGGATGGTCTTTGAAGTGGCTTCCAGCTCTGACACTTGCTGGCTCAATGACACTTGTGACATAAGTTACAGATGGGCAGAAAACACGGATTTCTTGATTCCAGCCAGGGACAACGGTGGCTGAAGAGAGAAAGGACTTCTCCCAAGGCTGGGCAGGGTGGTGAGAGGTGGTGACCACAGAGTCAACCTCAAATTGGGACAAGTTCCTCCAAGTGGGGCAGAACATGTCAAGACTGTGACCTTCCAGACTTGCTGGTGGTGGGGTCACTGCACTTTAAGATGACAGAGTGGAAGGGGAGCCTAGGAGAAGCCTGACCCCCAGCTTTTGTGACCCAAGCAGATCGTAGCCCCTCCTTGGGACTTGGTTATACTATCTGTTATAAAGGAAGCAATAACTCCTGCCTGACCTTCCACACAATGCAGTTGCTATGAGGGTTGAGATGGTGGCTTTAAAAATATGTCTCAGAATGCCAGGACAGAAAGAACATAGCATTTGACCAGAAACGGTAGATGAATTTTATCTCGTGTCAGTTGATTTGTAATGACTGCCTGGAATGCTATATCGGGTGGAAAAGAGTGCTGGCATTGACTAGTGATGTCTGCCATGAATGCAGGCTGGGAGGGTTGTGATACGCTCACCATGTATTTGTCAGCCTGATCTAGTGCAACTGCCTCGCTTTACAGATGTGGAGACTGAAGCCCAGAGAGGGTAAGTAACTTATCCAAAGTCATCCAGCATTTAGGATCAGGTCCAGGATTCAAACGCACGTCTTCTGATTCCCAATAAATGCTATCCATCCACTAAATGCTGTCTTCTTTGGGAGACTTGATCACATGGAAAACATCCAATTCACACAAAAGGCTTTTAACTGCAAAGTCATTAAGGATCAGAGTTCCAGAATCTGCCGACCCAGTTTGCACCCTCGTCTCGCACAGTTAGGTGAATTTGGTTGACTGACTTAACTCCTCTAAGCCTCGGTCTCCTTATCTATAAAATGAGGACAATAATAGTACCTTCCTCATGGGTTGCTGGGAAGATGTAACAACTTGTTATATGTGAAGTTTAAACAGTGCACAGTGTTTGGCACACAGCAGATGCTCAGGAGATACTGCTTTCTAGTGGTATTATTATAGGGACTCTGTACTCAAGAGTGAGTTTATCTTATGTCCTCATTATAAGACTCTGCATCACCCTCCTGGCCCCTGCTATGACACCTGCTCCTCGGAGACCAGCTGGTCCACCACATTGCTCCCAAACTTGTGGCGAATGTTGTTAGGAATGATGCTGCCCTTCTGGTTCGTGGGCGTGCTCCTCTGGTCCTGAGCCCCCAAGCTGGGACCGTCATCCGTCCCCTGGCATGGCTGAGCCCCCTCTCCCGAGGTGGCCCTGTTCTCTCTCGAGGAGGATCGAGAGCCCGCATTCTTCAGGGACCTGGACTGTGGGTCCATGCCCAGAGAATCCCTGCTGGCAGCAGTCGGGGGTGGAGGGGGAATCTCCTTCAAGTGGCACTGCCCTAGGGAGCTGCCTTGAGCGCTGGCTCCCAGGGGCAGGGGCTGTGGGGATGACAGACCCTGGTTCTTGAACTTGGAGGTGTCCAAGGAACTGTAGGCCGCTTTCCAGGGGTCCAAGTCCTGTTGGCCCTCCTTGTCATTCAGATGGGCCCTGGTGAAAGTGGTTGTACCTGAGCAGGACAAAGAGAAACAGAGGGGGAGGGAGAGAGACACGCAGACAAGGGCAGAAAGTAGAGGGTGGGGAGGGGGCAGAGATGGGGGTGAGGAGGGGAAACGGACAGACAAAGAGCCCCAGAGCTCCACAGCCAGAGAAGGGGAGAGGGACGGAGAGGAAGCGCAGGAACCAGAGGCATGGGTGGGAAATTAGGAGACACAATGGGAGAAGAGAGGCCAGCCTGCGTGCCTCCCACGGGCAGGGTTAGTCCACATTGCCTGGGGCAACAAGGGCTGCCGCCTAAGCCTGTCCCGCCTTGAGGCCTAGCTGTGTGACCGCAAGCAAGGGACTTGGCCTGTCTGTGCTTTCATGTCCCTGGCTCCATTTGGATAGTTCCCTTCCCCACTTTTCCATCTTGAAACCTCCCCCTCACTCTCCGCAGTGAGAATCTGGCAGCAGCGGCACTGGCAGAGGCGTTCCTGGGGCTAAGCCACATGCCTGGGAAGTACTGGAGTTGGATGGGACTTCCAGACTTTGCTTCCAATGCAAGACTGCTCCCCAATACCTACCTCCTCCCTTCGCCAGGGCTGAGAAGTGGCACCATCCCAGCCACCTCCCAGGCTCTCTCCTCCCCGCCTCTCCCTGTCTCCCACGTCCCTGCCCACAGCCTCCGCTTCTCTAGGTCTCTTGCTCTCAGCCTTCAGTGTCTCCTCACAGCCTGGCCTCATCCTCCACCCCAGATTACAGCTGTAAATATGTTTGGTGGTCTTCCCTCCAAAACTTCAAGTCCTCTTAAAAGATACATAAGGGCTGGGCATCTTGGCCGTCAGGCCTCTGAGCCCAAGCTAAACCATCATATCCCCTGGATGATAAACCTCCGCAGAGTTTATCTAAATGTGGCCATGTATGAGGATTCCCTAGGCTCTCATTAAAAATACAGATGCCTGGGACCCTCTCAGAGCTGCTGCATCAGAAAGGCCCTGAATCTGAGTGTTTAACAAGCCCCTGGGCATTCAGGTCATTGGAGGAAGATTTTAGCAGGATCGCTGCCCCAACTCACTGGACTCTCTTCTCCCCATCCCACCTGCCAGCCCCAGCCAACCTGCACTCACCCCTGGGGACCATTCTCAGAGCGGGCCTGACTCAGTCACGCCTGCATCAAAATCTTTCCTCTTGTCCTCAGGGCAGAGTGCCTGCTCTCGGGACTCCACAAAAGTGCCAGCCGTCTCTCCCTCCCAAGCCTTTGCCTGAGCTATTTCTCCTGCCTGGAACACTCCCCTCCACTCCTTGGGCTACACTACCCCTGCTCTTGGCTCACGTGTAACCCCATATATACCTCCCATCCATTGAGGCCAGGCCCCTCACCATGTTCCCCCACAGCCCTGCCCTTCTGGTACACACAAGACTCAGAGCACCTGAGTCACCCCCTCAGGATGGAGACCATATCGGGGTGATAATCCCTGCACATGGCAGGATGGGAGGGCTCAGTAATTCCGTTCCCTCCTTTTTCCTTCTGTCTTCCAACAGAATGCCCCCCTAGGAAGCCTGGGCCGATGGTGGGTCTGGAGGCCAACACAAGACGGAGCGGGAGGAGAAAGGGCCGGTGCCCTGCTGCCCCAGGGAGTCCCTCCAGAAGCCTGGATGTGCATTCAGCACATCCCTGGTCTGCCTGTCCTACCTGCTCCGTGGCCCAGCTCCATAGCCTCTTGCTGTGGGACAGGCAATTCCAAGCTTAGTCCTGTAAACAAAGCACCACGTTTCATCGTCTCAGATAACACACAGAGTTTCTGTGAACAAGGATGAGCTGGGAGCTGAACAGGAAGGCCTGTGGCTGTCTGCCCGCCCCTGATCAGAGGTTCCTAAGCTGCCCCTGGTGCCCTCTGGCACTGCCCAGACCCACGGAGCCTCTGCCCCATTCACTCATCACCCCTGGCACAGGGGCTGCCTCCTGGACTTCTGCAGCCTCTGCCCTCTCTGAAAAGCCCTGGCCACCCCCACCCCACCCCACCAGTCCTCAAAGACCTATCTCAAGCAGCCTTGGAACCCTGGGCTCATTTTACTCCTTCATAATTTTTCCTTTCATCTCCTCCTCCTCTTCTGCCCCATCACCACCACCCTAGGAGACCCTAGCAGGCCCCTGGCTGTGAAGCCCATTGCCCCGGCTCCCATCCTGGCAACCATTTGTCTTCCTGCAAATAGGATTGTATCCATTTGCTGAATGGTCGTTCGTGCTCAGGGAAGGGAAGCAGCTTAGCCACCACGAAGGAGAACCAAGAGCAGGAACCCACACTTTGCTCTGGTGTAAACTCAGTCTTCTCTCTAAGGCCTTGGATTCAAATTAGAGGGGTAGATTCAAAAGCCTCTGCAGCTTTCGTGCTTGTGTTTTGTTTTCTTATGTGATCTTTCTTTTTTTTTTTTGAGACAGGGTCTTACTCTGTCACCCAGGCTGGAGTACAGTAGTGCAATCTCAGCTCACTGCAACCTCCACCTCCCAAGTTCAAGCAATTCTCCCACCTCAGCCTCCTGAGTAGCTGGGATTACAGGTGTGCACCACCACATCTGGCTAATTTTTGTATTTTTAGTAGAGACAGGGTTTCACCATGTTGGCCAGGCTGATCTCTAACTCCTGGCCTCAAGTGATCCACCCGCCTCAGCCTCCCAAAGTGCTGGGATTACAGGTGTGAGCCACCGTGCCCGGCCTGTGACTTCGGTTTTGTTTGCTCTCTTTCCCTGGTTCTCCTTGGTTTGCTCATTCTGATGACAGCAAATGCCGTGTTTTGAGCTGCCCTGTGGAGCAGCCCATGGAGCAAGAAACTGAGGGTGACTTCTGGCCAAAAGCTCATAAAGAATAGAAGCCCTGAGTCCAACAGTCTTTGAAGAACTGAATGAATCCTGACACCTGAATGAGCTTGAAAGTGGATCCTTCCCCAGTTGAGCCTTGATATGAGAACACAGCCTGGATGACACTTTCATTACAGCCTGTGGGATACCCTGGGCCAGAGGACCCAGCCAAGTGAGCATCCTGACTCCTATAAGTTCTGAGATCATAAATTTGTACTGTTTTAAACATACAGTGTCAAACTTCTAAGCTTTATGGTCATTTGTTACGCAGCAATACATAGCTAATACATATTTTGGTACTAACAGTGGGGTGTTGCTATAACAAATACTTAAAAATTTGGGACTGAACTTGGAACCAAGCGGTGGTCAGAGTCTATAAGGATTTTGAGAAGCATGATAGAAAAAGCCTAAATCACCTTAAACAGTTTTTTTTTTTTTTTAAGCAGAAATCTGGAGTTGGAAGATGCAGTGAGTGAGGGCCCAAATGGAAGTGAGGAATATATTACTAGAAATAGTGGAAGAAAGACCCTTGTTATGTAGTGGCAGAAACAGTGACACTGTCATCTGCAGTTATGTGACTAATGAACTGAATGATTTAGCTAAAGAGTTCCAAAGAAAAGATGGTAGTTGCCTCTTACTTTCTTCTTGCTGCTTGTAGTGAAATGTGAGAGGAAGGTGATGAATTGAAGAAGGGACTGTTAAACAAAAAGATGCCAGTACTTAATGGTTCTGAAGTCTCATCCTTTCCAGATCCCAAAAGATGCTAAAATTAAGAAATAGCTTCAGAAGGCTGTCTGGAAAGTGTGCCCAGGAGTGTGACTGTGCGACCTGTTGTTAAAACTTCAGAAAGATCAAAGGATGAGGGTATTACTCTGTCAAACAAAGGGTGCTTTAAAGAGATTAAAGAGATGCCTGATATATCCTCTTAACAGAACCATAGGACCTCTAGGAAGCTTAAGGCTCCTCAACAGGAGCCTCAGTTAAAAAGGGGTGTGACTTTTGTTCAATGGAGTGAACCCCTGTAAGTTTTACTGTTGAGAAAATAACATCAGCAAAATGTTGGCAACTTCGGGTAAAAGGGATAGAGACAGTACAAAATGAAAAGATACCATTGAACAAAAAATAAAAATAAAAAAGACAAGTCAGAGAGTGGATGCAAGAGTCCAGAAGGCAGAGCTGAGAGCCATGGAGAATTATCCCCAGGCCTTGAAACCTAATCAAGGAATGTCCAACATTTGTGTGGCTGGATTTCAAAACCGCTATGGAACATTGACTCCATGTCTCCATTTTCCTCAATTTTGAATAGGAATGTCACTAGTTCTTATCCTATGCCTATCACATCACTGTATGTTAGGTGTGTTCAGGGCAAATTACTTAGTTTCACAGATCTATGATGGGGAAGAATTGAATCTGAGAAGCTGTACTTAAGGAACGACACTGGAGGAGCCTCAGCCACACCTGGAGCTGATTTATATGACCAGATTCTAGCTTTTAAACTGATGCTTTAATAGGATGAGAATTTTAAAGATCTTAGGAGGGGATGACTATATTTTGCATGTGGAAGGGATGTACATTATTGGGGGCCAGAGGGCAGAGAGTGGCAGGCAGTTGACATGGCTCCCAATGATCCCTGTTTCTTGGTATAATTCTCTCCCCTTTGGTGTGGACTGGACATAGTGATGAATGGAATGTGGCAAAAATGAGGGATGTTGCATCCATGATGAACTTATAAGAGACTACAACTTCTGTCTTTTTCACACACTCTCTGCAGCTCTCCTCAGCTCATCTTCTCTGACAGAAGCCAGTTTCCCTGTTGTGAGATGCCCTATGGAGAGGTCCACAGGGCAAGGAACTCAGAGTGGCCTCTTGCCAACAGCTCCAGAGTAGCTGGATCCTGCCATGTGAATGGGTTCCTTCTCTGGTCGAGCTTTGAGATGAGACTAGAGACCCAAGCAACACCTTGATTGCAGCCTGTGAGAGACCCTGGGACAGAAAAATCACCAACACTCCACCGGTATTCCCAACTCACAGAAACTGTGAGATAGTAAATGTTGTCTTAAGCCCACTAAGTTTTGGGGTGATTTGTTGTGCAGCAAGAGATAACTAACACAAGTCCATGTCAAGCATTCTCACATCTGGTAAATTAGTCTGGTCTTCACAAATACCCAGTAAGGTGTTCGGAGACACTACTAATTTATCTTCTTTCACAGATGGAGAAAATGAGGCTCCGAAAAGACACAGGACTTCACCAGGTGGGGCTAAAATTAAATTGCACATCTTCAAGCTAGGTGAAGTTCAAGTTAGCTCCAAGTTTTCTTTCTCCTCCTATCCCCAGCCACCAACCTGACGTGCCCACGGCAGCTCTGTACGTCCCAGTGCACTGCCAGTCCACAGCAGTCTGGACGGGCTACAATGGAAGTGTGGACTCACTTCCAGTTTCTGACCCAGAGAGAGAGATCCCAAGAGACTTTGGTCAAAGAGGGCGGGAAGGTAAGTCCAGTCTAGGCAGTCTTCACTCACAAGCAACTCTGAATGGGGAGAAGGAAGATGAAACCCCATGTCCTGGAAGAACCCTGGCCCTTCATAAGTCTCTGCCTCACCTCTCCAATCTCTTTCATAACAGCAGGAAACACGTGAACCACACTGATGTGTGCTGAAGCCCAGAAGTGCAGATCCCCACTGCAGAACTACTGGTGAAGACCAATGGATGGTTGCTGGGAAGTGGCCCTCCCCAAGATGTTCATTGGAGTTGCCATGGTGATCACTATACACAGGGCTCTGTTACCTCAGAGGGCTGATAGGCCCACCCGTAGGGAAAAGAGGCCAGGAGAAAGCCAGGATTGAGGCCAGGAAAAGGCAGGAGGGGCTTCAATTATTGTTCACTCTCTCATCCACTCTAGAATGTCAGTTGAGCCCCCACTACATGCCAGGTGTGCCAGGCACAGGGGGCTCAGATGCTACCAAGTGCAAAAGATGTTCTTGGGAGCTCAAAGCACTAAGTAGGGAGAAGAACTAGCTCTGTGTAGGAAAAAGGAGGAAGGACTTATGAAAGAGCCATTTGAGTTGGATCTTGAAGGATGCCTAGGAACTTAACAGTTTTGAAGGGATGAGAATATTAAAGGCATGGATGTGTATAACAGCATAAATGTAGGTCGAGGTCAATGGGGAAGGAGAAAGATGCATCTGGAGCTGTCTGATTTGGACACCCAGGGATCAGGGACCTGGGAGTAAAACTAAAGGAAGGGTCCTCTCTCCTATTCCTAAACAACAAGGGCTACAGAAGGAGATCAACAAAATTAAGTGACTTCTTTTCTGCAGAGAAGAAGGAGGCAGAAGTCATTGGTGCCAGCACTGGCCCATTCCTGTCTGGCTGTTGCTCAGCCTGGACAAAGAGTGGGTATAGTGAACGCCTCCTGCAAGCCCAGCCTTTCAGGATTTCCCCAGGAAACAGAGAGTGCTGTGGTTAAACTTGGAGTCCCCAGAATCTGGGCCTGTCACTTATTAGATAAGAGACTGGCCAAGTCCTTTAGCTGAACTTCCTTCACATGTGAAACAGATATCACCCAACACTAAGGATAAGGGTGATGGGCGAATAAAACAATTTTTTGCAAAATGTAGCACATTGCCTTGCACAGAGAGAGACATCACAAAACTCTAAGCTACTTCCGCAAGCAACCCATCAGCAAGTCCTTCGAAGTACACTAGATTTGGATGCCTTCGTCCACCTCCACAACTCCCCCTACTCCCTGGTCCAAGCCACCCTCATCTCTTGCCTAAGTATTATCTATTGCTGCACGACAATCTTGCCATAAACTTCGAAGCTTAACATACAACTGTTATCTCACAGTTTCTTTGGGTCGGGTGTCTACTCATGGCTTAGCTGAGTTCTCTGCATTGGGGTCTTAGCAGGCTACAATCCAAGTATTGGCCAGGGCTGCAGTCTCATCTGAGGTTCCACTAGGGAAGAATATGCTTCCAAGCTCATGTGGCTGTGGGAGGATTCAGTTCCTTGCAGTCTGTTAGACTGAGGGTCTCAGGCTCTCTCTGGCTGTCAGCCAGAGGCCATCCTCAGTTCCTTGCTATGTGGGCCCCCCAACACCAACATGACACTGACTTCATCAAAGCCAGCAAAGAGGGAGTCCCCTTGCAAGATGGGGCATTACAATGTTGTGTACCATAGTCACAGAAGTGGCATCCATCACCTTTGCCGTAGGCTGTTGGTTAAAAGCAAGTCACGGGTCCCACCCGCAGTGAAAGGGAGAGGGTCACACGGGGCATGAACACGAGGGGGCAGATAATATGGGGACCACCCTGGAGTCCACCATATCCTCTGACAGTCTTCTCACTCAACAGCCCAGCAATCCTGTTAAGACCTATATTAGATCATATGTCACCCCTCTAAACAAAACCTTCCAGCTCAACCACAGTAAAAGCTGACATCCTCCCATTTATCTGCAAGGCCCTACCCAACCTGTCCACCATTTTTCTCTGACCTCTGCTCCTCTCACTTTCCCAAGTGCTCCCTGGGTCCCTGCCATGCCAGGCTCTGCTGTTTTTTGGGCACACCAAGCACAGTCCCTCCTCGGGGCCTTTGCACGGGCTGTTCCCTCTCCTCTCCTGCAACTTCCTTCCCCCACATGCCTACATGGCTTGCCTCTTCACCTCCTTCAAGACTCTGCTCACCTTCCCAGACCACCTTTTCTTAAAAAGCATCCCAGCCCACCCCACACTCCCTACTCCTATTTTCCAACCTTTTCTACCATTGCACCTTATTGCCATCTGACATACTGTGTATATTTGCTTCTTCTTCCCACAGTAGGATCTGAGCCACATGTGAGCTGGGAAGAGGACTGTTTTGTTAGTGGCATGGAAGTGAGAGGGGTCAACCCTCCAGACTACCAGTCCCACCACTACAGGTCCCACCGGCCTCAGCATTCAGCCCCATCACCCAACCTGCCAGCCCCAAAACCAACCTCCTCAGCATCTCCTGAGCACCTATTTGCCCCAATGCCAAGCCAAGGACAGACTTGGTCTCCGGCCCTCCAGGATCCTGTCTTCACTGGGAAGGCTGGATAGTGGGGAGCCGGTAGTCCCCAGTAGGTGGGGCCCGGAATTCTTCTTGCAACCCCAAAGGAGGTCTAAGAGAGGCTGTTTCTGGGAAACTTGAAATCCAGCCACATGGGGCCAAGCTATCAGGTTGCTTTCTTCTACTGTGGCTTCCTGATTCACCTGCCAGAGCCTGGACCTTCTCCCAGGGCCAAAGCTCTTTCTCCAGCCCCTCCCTCCACTGCTCCCCAGGGGGTCTTACTCTGAGCCAGAAAAGGTGCTCGAGACAGAGGCCACCTTCCTTTCACCTGCTCCTGAGCATGGCCTCTTCTGAGAGGCCCTGGGTCTGTGTGACACCTCTATGGACATATTGGGAAAGCCAGCTGTCCCTCCGCCCCTACCCAGGAGGCTGGGGCTACAGCAGCTGGGGCTTCAGCTCTCTGGCTTTCTGGTTCCCTTCCCACCTGTCTTCCTGGTAGGACCCAGCATGCTCTGGGACAGAGTCCACCTGACATGGGACAGCAGGAGGCTGTTTCTGCCAAAACTGGGTGAAAGTGGTGTCCTCGGTATGGCTTCCCCAGCCAGAGGGGCTATGGTGGTCTCTGTCCTTGGTGGAGTCTCCGGAGTTTGAAAGAGATGGAAGTTTGGGGGCAAGGATGGAGCCCAGAGAGAGGCAGGCAAACACACTACTCAGAAAAGGCAAAGTTTATTCCAGTGTTGACAGAGAGAGGGTGAGCCTTGCACAGCAATTCTAAAAACATGTCATCTCCTTCACCTAAGAGGTAAGAACCGGCTGTAAGTCATGGGGTCACTAAACCGGCCGCAGTTACAGTAAGCAGAAGAGGTCACGGCTCAGGCCTTCTCAGACTTTCCCTGGGACACACGGCTCTCTGGGGGGGCCCGGCGAAACCACTCGGACCAGGAGCCATCGTACACGGCCACATCAGGCTTGCCGCAGAGGTAGGCAGCCAAGGCCACGTGGCAGGCGGTGACTCCCTTGCGGCACGTGGCAATGAGAGGCTGCGAGAGATCCACCTTCTTGGTCTGGAACAGAGCACGGAGCTCTTCTGGGCCCTTCTCGAAGCCATCCTCAGTCAGGAAGTCCATGAAAGGCATGTTGACGGCACCACGGATATGGCCCGAGTCCAGTCCTGGGCAGGGCAGAGGACACAGCTTAGGGGATGTATGAGGGGTGGGGACTAATGGGGCCTGGAGGATTCCATCAGCTATAGCTGGAAGGATAGATAGCTTTGCAAATAAAAATAACATCTTTGCTCTGCTTGGAGCTCAATTTATTCCCAGCCCCACCTATTATCATTTCTCATGACTTAAGATGCCTGCAACTCCTCTCCTAACACCTGTCTTGAAGTAGAGATGCCCAAAATCACACCTGCTTGAGAAGACAGCGGCATGAGTCTCAGCTCCACTAACCTTTACCTTGGGCAAATCATTTCACTTCTCTGAACCTCAGTTTTCTCATCTGTAAAATGGGCTCAGTGGTACATACCTATCTCACAGCCATGTTGAGAAGAGCAAATGGGACAACTTATTGCAAATGCTATGTGCTGAGAACACAGCGGTGAAAGGCAGAGACACAGCCAGGCCCTCTGGGAGATTCCAGTCTAACAAGAAAGGCAGATGCTAAACAGATAACCACATAACTAATCAGATATGTCCCCATTTTACAGATGAATCCGCTGAGTCTTGGCAAAACAACACGGCTCACCTAAGGCCACACAGAAAGATGAAGGCAGACCCAGGATTACATCGGGGCCTCTGGTTTTCTGTTAAGCACACAGTTGCAGAAAGAGCAAGTGACCTGGTGTCAGATGTGAGGTCAAATCCCACTGGAGCAAGTTATGTCAGCTCTCTGAGCCTCAGTTTCTCCATAGGAAAAATGGAAATGAGAGTATCCACTGTGTATTGGCTGCTGCACGAAGCGGGTGGCACAAGGAAAGCGCTGGCTTTGGAGGCTGGCCCACCCACCCTGCCATGCTGCGCCCCCAGCCACTTCACCACCCATGGAGGGGGTAGGGGGAGAATAGGGACAGTGTGGGCCTTTTTGGTCCCCTCCAAGAACTTGGATGGAAGCAGAGTGGAGGGACTCGGCTGGCTCTAGAGTCCTTTCTGGAACTGTCTCAGTACCCAGTGAGGGCCCTCGGCCAAATCTGGCTTCAGAAGAGCCAGGAATTGGGGCAAAGGGGAAAGCCATGGCCAGAGCTGGTGCCACCCACAGGGTGAGGCCACAGGCCAATCTCACACATGCCCCAGGCCACTCCTGTCTTCCTCGAGCAGCCCACACCCTGGCAGGGGTGGGGGCTCTATGGTTGGCCCCACTCCCAGTGCCCAACCTGCACTTTGGCCTGACACAGGCCTATCTCCATCTCTTTGAGCCCTCCTTGCTCCCCAAATCCCCACCCCCATTCAACCTGGATTATGGGACAGGGCAGGAGCAGGGTGGCAGGAGTGGGAGGGGAAGGATCTGACTAGTGTGGCCAAGGCATATACTGGGGCTGGGTACAGCCAAGCAGGCCCTGAACCTCCGAGCCTCAGTCTCCCTCCTGCAGAACGGGGACAAAACCCCACCTAGGCCGGATGCAGTGGCTCACGCCTGTAGTCCCAGCACTTTGGGAGGCTGAGGTGGGTGGATCACAAGGTCAGTTCAAGACCAGCCTGGTCAACATGGTGAAAACCCGTCTCTACTAAAGATATAAAAAATTAGCCGGGTATGGTGGCATGCGCCTGTAATCCCAGCTACTCGGGAGGCTGAGGGAGGAGAAACGCTTGAACCTGTGAGGCGGAGGTTGCAGTGAGCCGAGATCACCCCATTGCACTGCAGCCTAGGCAGCAAGAGCGAGACTCCGTCTCAAAGAAAAAAAAAAAGTAAACCTCACCCACCTCACAGGTGTGTGGGGAAGTCTAACTACTGCAGCTAAAAGCACCCAGTGACCCTGGCAGGCACACGATTCGGTACATCATCACGCCAGCTATGTCCTGGTCCTTTCACCCCGGGGCCAAAGAGGATTCCAAAATCTATTAGTACAAGTCGAGTTTGATTGGCAGTGGTGTTTACAATCAACTGATCACCAGTTACAGATTTCTTTCTTCCTTCTCCACTCCCACTGCTTCACTTGAATAGCCTGAAAATAAAGTAGAAAGGCCAGGCATGGTGGCTTACATCTGTAATCCCAGCACTTTGGGAGGCCCAGATGGAAGGATTGCTTGAGCCCAGGAGTTGGGTAACATAGCAAGGCCCCATCTCTATAGAAAAAAAAAAAAAATGAGCCAGGCATGGTGGCATGCACCTGTAGTCCCAGCTACTTGACAGGCTGAGGTAGGAGGATCACTTGAGCCCAGGAGACTGCAGTGAGCTGTGATCATGCCACTCCAGCCTGGGTGATAGAGCAAGACTCTGTCTCAAAAATATAATAATAATGAATTAAAAAAGGAAGTTTGATTGCATATAACGTATAAAATTAGAGCAATTTCTTCCTGTTGTGTTTCACCTGCTTTGCCTGGAAACTTGAATCTAAGATGTGTGCCCACCCTACCAACGAGGAACAATGGATCAGCTGGCATCGAGGGCATTCTTTCCCAAGAAACCCAGCTTTAAAATGTTTCCACAGTGGGCTGGATTGAAGTGCATTTGAAAGCACAACGGGTTGAATCCTGTTTTGTTGTCCCCATCCCTGATGACACAGCCCCACTGTGTTCTTCTTATTACATAAAGGGCACCCCTTCTGAGTAAAGATGAAGTCAGGGAGTTTCTGTAGAGCGGGCCTCCCACACTGGGCCAGCTGGACGGGGTGAAGCAAGGGGAGCTCAGGGCCTGTCTGGGGCATTTAAATGAACTGTGGGAAGGGCTGAGATGAACCTGGGCCAGAGAACTTTCAAGAACAGCCAGTTTGGCCGGGCGCGGTGGCTACGCCTGTAATCCCAGTACTTTGGGAGGCCGAGGTGGGCGGATCACGAGGTCAGGAGATCGAGACCATCCTGGCTAACACGGTGAAACCCCGTCTCTACTAAAAACACACATACAAAAAAAATCAGCCAGGTGTGGTGGTGGGCACCTGTAGTCCCAGCTACTCGGGAGGCTGAGGCAGCAGAATGGCGTGAACCCAGGAGGCGGAGCTTAAAATGAGCCAAGATCGCACCACTGCACTCCAGCCTGGGTGACAGAGCGAGACTCCGTCTCAAAAAACAAACAAACAAACAAAAAGAACAGCCAGTTGGTGGAAAGGCACGTTGGGCCAGAAAGCAGAGGCTCCCATGCTTCTCTTCCCAAGTCTAGCTGAAGGCTTCTGGCTCTCCCTGCCCCCAGCAGGCATGCCCCCATTCCCATAACCTGCGGCACCAGGCACTTGACAGCAGGTGCTCTCAAGAATTTTATCCTCCTCAATCCTCACAAAGCAGGGGAGATTATTCTCTCAGCATTGCTGGGGGAGCCCAGGCTCAGAGAGGTGATGTCGCTTGCCTCAGGACACACAGCAAAGGTAAGTCTGATTGGTCTGCCCCCAACGCCTGTGTTCTTTGACCACCCTGAGCCTCCCTGGAAAAGGAGACTGAGGCTGGGGAATGGATGAGATGACCTCTTGTACTCAACTACTAGAGTTAACATCCCTCAGGCCACTGGTAGGTGTGGATTTTTAAGGCCAGGAAAAGCTGTCTGGCGCTTTCTCCTTTTACTAAGGAATCCAGAGCAGGCAGCCCCAGAAGGCAACCCCTTAACCCTAGCCAGGAAGAGGCAGCCCTGCACCTTCCCTCCTCCCTCAGCCAAGCTCCCAGCCCTGGGAGGGAGAGATAGGCAGAGTGGATTTTCAGTCCCATACAGCAGCCCGGGAGCCACACCATGGAGCCGTGACCTTTCCCTCAGCCCCTGGGCTTGCTTACAGCTCACCCCACCCACAGCAGTAGCCTTGGGAAACAGCCCCAACTTGAAGCCTGCCGACCTGGGGTCAAGTCTCTGCCACTTTGTCTTAACAGAGAAGCCCCTTCCTTGTCCCCACCCACAAAGTGGGACCCAGCCTACCTACCCCTGCCTGCCTCCCCTTGCAGGGCTGCTGTAGGTGTCCAGAAGAGACTATATAAAAAGCGTTCTGTAAATAAAAGTGCTCATTAGCGGGTCGATACCCTCCTCCCTTCTTCACCCTCACTCCCTCCAAGAAGGGAGGCAAAGAAAATTAAGTCGATAAAGAAACTGGGCTGGATAAACTCCTACTCTGCCTCTCTCACTTCCTCCAGCCCTCCTCTCAGGTGAGCAGCGCTCCTTTCACGAACAACAGTTAGCGGTGAAGGCACTAGCCTGAGGCTAAGCATCAGTATCACACCTGGATGGAACCTCAGATCTGGCTGACTCCAGGACTAAGAGCTTGTGGAGGCACAAAACTACAGCCAAAGAGGAAGGCGCTTGCCTAAGGTGAGCAGGAAGTGGCCGCCAGGTGTCTAAGCTCTGCTTCTCGCTCCATTTAGGGTCATTCCTTCCAGAGATGATCAGGGCCAATGCCTGACCCCCAGGTCTGCCACCCCCATGCCCCTGTGTGTTACATCTGGACCGCTGAACCTACAGGGTGCCTCCCTGATCCCACACCACGCTGGGAACCATAAACTTGGCAGAGCCTCATGTGCCTTTGTGTCCCCAAAATATCTTGTATGGGAGGCCAGCAAAGCCTCTTGGAGGAGGGGGTTGGGGGGGAAGTGCCACACCCTCCAGGATTTGTATCGTTCCTTACCCTTCTTGAAATCCCTTTCCAGCCACTGCTACTTTTTTTTTTTTTTTTTTTTTTTTTTGAGACAGAGTCTTGTTCTGTTGCCCAGGCTGGAGTGCAGTGGCGCGATCTTGGCTCACTGCAACCTCCACCTCCCGGGTTCAAGCGATTCTCCTGCCTCAGCCTCCCAAGTAGCTAGGATTACAGGCACGTACCACCAACGCCTGGCTAATTTTTTTTTCATTTTAGTAGCGACGGGGTTTCACCATGTTGGTCAGGCTGGTCTCGAACTCCCGAGCTCATGATCCGCCCACCTTGGTCTCCCAAGGTGCTGGGATTACAGGCGTGAGCCACCACGCCCGGCCGCCACTGCTACATTTAAACAAATGCATACTCATGTGGGTAGGGCTGGCGTGACTCTTCTCATTTTATGATAAGGAAACCCAGAGAGGCCAAGCAACTGGACTGAGGTCACTCCAAGGAGGAGTGGCTGAGCTGAAATGAGAATCCATGTTCCCTGATGCTCCTGAGGGAAACTGAAGGAGGTGTGAACACAATTACAGAGGAGGAACTTCAGCATCCCGGGCCTTCAGGAGGCATTACCCACTGCAGGCCATTCTCCTCCTCTGAGCCTCAGTTTCCTCATCTGTAAAATGGGTGAGGACATTGGGCCTGGCACCTCCAAGCTGTCCCTTCCACTTATTTCTTAGGTTGCTTCAGGGCAGGCTGGGAAGCAGCAAGAGAACCAATTCCACTGATCCTCCCCCATGACAGCTTAAATCCCAAGGAGAAGAGGCGTCTTGAACCAAGGCCAGGAGAGGGCTGCAGGCGTTCCCAGCCAGGATTCTCTGGGAGGTGCCAAATGAACTTGAATCTTCAACTCCAGACCTTCAGAGAGCAAGCAGGCAAGAAAAATATGGGGCCTGGAAAAAGCTGCGCTGGAAAGGGCAGAGACCCTGCTGTCCTGGCTCTGTCACTAACTAGCTATGCGGCCTTGGCCCCTGCCTCTGTGCACCTCAGTCTCCCCTCTGTCAGGTGAGGTCACCGTTCAGGCCCTCCAGCTCTAAGAGTGTGCAGAACAGTTTTCCCAGCATTCTCTCTGTAGGAGGTACAGACAGGAAGAGATGTTTTTCAACAAGTCAGGCAAAATGTTGCACACGAGTTAGATTCTGTAGAGAAGGAGCTCTGACTGAGGAAAGAGCCACCAAGGAGGTGCCCAGAGACAAGAGAGGGCCCTGCTCCTGGAAATGGCCAGGCAGGGACTGGAGGGCACTCAGCAGGAGTGATGGCAGCGAGACGGCAGTCCTGCCTCTAGAAAAGGGAAGACCTCCGAGGTTCTGTCTGGCTAGGAGGTTCTAGAACTCAGCATTTCCTCTCCTGAGGCTCTCCCCAACCCTCAAGCAGTATCCAATCCACCTGGCCTTCCCTTCCACAGGAGGGGAACTTCTGAGTCGCCTTCCTGGGGCAACTAGCAGAGGGGACTCCCTCCTGGCCCTGGGAAGTAGGGGTAGGGCAGCATTGGGTGCGTCCTGGTTTATAGCCCTGGTTTGAAACAAGGCAGCATTGGATTCGAATCCTGCCTTCCACCACTTTATGTCCTGGCATCTCAGTCCCCCCACCCCCCGCTGCCAAAACAGGGGCATTGAGCTTTGTTCGCTGAGATAATGCGGTGCCAAGTGTCTGGCATGAAATGGCAGCTGCTGTTACAACTCTGCCGACGGGCTGCAGCTGCCTGGAAAGGTTATGGAACCTTTGCAAACAGCAGGCAGGGGCCCCAGGAGAGCTAGATTTGGGGAGAGGGGGATCCTGCGGGGAGGGACACTGTTGATGTCTATAAGGGTTTCTGCGGGACGAGAGAGGCCTGGAGAAGCTGGATGTGTCCGTGGGAGGTTTCTGTACAGCAATGCAAACGCTGGCTCAGGGGCATGACACCCTTAGGTATATCCTAGTACATGTGGGGCAGCTGGTGCCTGGGAGTGGAGGTGGTGGACATGTCACCAGTGACTTCTGCTCACACAGATGCTAGGTGGCTTCTTAGCACATGGCTATGAGGACACATTCTTGGGTCCTTGTGCATCCAAGCTGAAAAAGCCTTTAGGTTTGTCTCCACTTTCTGGTTTTATCGATGGAAAGACTGAGGCCTACATGGGAGGATTGAAGGCATGGGACGGACCCTGGAGAGGGTCCCAGTCATCCTTACTCCCTATCCTTCCATGGGGCAATACTCCCCAGGGACCACCCAGCACTGGGACACCTACCTACTGCATCCGGCTCCGGCTCGGTGCCCAGGAACCGCCCTTGAGACCTTGAATCCACCAGCTGGAACCTCTTAGATTCAAGGTTCTCCAGCACCTGCTCGTAGGTCTTGAGCAGGGAGCGGTCCAGTGTGGCTTTGAAGACGGCCGGTTCTGGGCGTGAGGGCTCGGATGTCACCGGGTGGCCCTCCTTCAGCCAGTTCCGGAAGCCACCATTGAGCACTGATACGGTGCGGTGGCCAAACACACGGAACATCCACCAGACCCGGGGAGCATAGAAGCTGCCCAGGTGTTCACCATCATACACCACCACGTGCGTGTGGTTGCTGATGCCCAGGCGGCCCACATACTCGGCGAAGCCAGCCTCGCTGGGCAGCATCATCTCGTAGGGCGACGCCGTGTCCCGGCACTCTTCTATGTCAAAGAAAGAGGCGCCGGGTACGTGGCGCTCGAGGTACTCCTTGCGGGCCTCTCGGGTGCCTGGTGAGTACCAGGACGCGTCCAGCACCCGCAGGCCGGGCCCCAGCTTGCCAGTCCTGATGGACTCCGCCAGCCACTTGGTGGAGACCAGCGCCCGGTAGAGCACCTGATGAACCATGGCTTCAGCTCTGCGTGTCACCTGGCACGGGTGGGAACCAGGAAAGAGAGACAGGCGTGAGGAAGGAAGTCGGTGTGTGCAGTAGGGTGAGGCCTGGGAGAAGCTCTTTCTCCCTCCGCACTCCCCCGGGTTCCTTGTTTACAGCAAGCCAGCGAGGCTGGGGCGTGCAGCGGGATAAGTTTGCAGATTCCCTCTGGAAAGCCGGCCCCGCCCCTCCCAGCCGGCCCGGGGGCCCAGCGCAGAAGCGGGTGGGGCAAGAGTTTCCGAGGACTCCAAGTAGGGGCGCTTCCTGGGGCGGGGATCTGGCTCCTAGAAGTTACAGTACTCGATCCCGCCAGGAAAGAGCAATGAAAGCATGCCCGGGATGGGGGGCGATGGCATCTTGGGCTTAGAATCCCCTTTCCTTCCAAGGCAGAGGGGGTGGGCGCACGGCTAGGAAGCTCCGCGAGCCGCGCACACGCCATCGCCTGCGGCCTCCCCAGGCAGCCCGAGCTCGCCCGCCTCCAGAGTGCCCGAGTCCGGCCCGTAGCTCGCTGCCCTCTGCCCTAGGTGGATCAGGGGTTCCCGGGGCACCCCGTCCCACTCTCGCAACGCTATCCTTCCCCGGGCAGCAGGTGGCCCGACCGGCGGCCCAGGCGCCCGGCCGCTGCCCCCGCCCCGCACTCACTCGCCCCGGACGCCGCGCTGGCGCTCGCCCCGGCCGGCTGGAGAAGTTGGCCGGTTCAAACCCCCGGCCGCAGCTCCCCAGGCGGCGCGCACCATCGCGCCACCGCCAGAGGGGGACCCTGCGCCGCCCGCCGCCATCCCGCGCCTCCCCCGCGCGGCCGCTTCGCGCCCGGCACCTGCCAACCTCGCGCGCGGGGCCTCCGGGACCCGCGGGGGTCTGAGGGGGACGCCGGGTGGCGCGGGGGCCGCGCGGGCCTGGGCTGGGCGGAGCGGGCGTACCCCCACGGCCCGGCCAGTGGAAGGCGCGGGCAGCAGCGGCTCCGAGTGGCCGCGGCGGTGGGCTGTGCCGGAGTCTCCTCCCTTTGGTCCGCTGCAGGTTGGTGGCGGGAGGAGGGGACAGCTGCGGGCGCGGGGAGGGGGCGCCGCGCCGCGGGGGCCATGGCGGAGCCAGGAAGCCGGGAGTCCGAGACCCGGGTAACTGCCGCGGCGTGGCGGCTTGCCTTTCTGGAGGGGGAGGGAGTGGCTCTTTGGGGGTGCTCGGCGCGGGGCTCCCGCGCGGGACCTGGGCGGAAGAGGGGGCTTAGTCTAGGAGAGAAGGCGCGCCGCTACGTTGGCACTAAGGGTGACTGTCCGCTTGGGGCGGCCTGCCGGGTGGGGTCGTGGCGAGTGGCGGGTGGGGAGCCTTGGGTGGAAGTGGGTGACCTGGTGGCACCAGAGAGGGCGGGGGAGAGAGAGGAGGACAGGGAGACGAGACCCCGCTGACCCAGAGGCCCCAGGAAGAGACACTAGCCAATAACTTGTTAGTGAGTGAAAGGAACTAACATTGTCCAGCCCTGCTTGGTGTGGCACTTTGCTGGGTACTCCCGTGGTGTGACTTAATTCCCACAATAACCCTGAGGAGTAGGCCAGAAACTTACTAAGACAGGAGAGAGCGGCAGAGCGAGTTGCTGGAGGACACACCCAGAGTTGAGGCCGGGCCTGATCCCTGGTCTGAAGCCCACGTGGTACCAGCTGCCTTTGTTTACCTGGCTCTTCCCTGAAGGTTCATGCTTTTTAAAAAATTGCCTGTTTTGAACTTAGCCCGTTTAATCATAAGTTGATGTAATTCAATTTTTAATAATAGCTGTATTTAACAACCAGTTGGCAAAATTCCTGAAAAGCTCGCCATGGGCTCTTGCAAACTGGGGGACACCATTGCCCCTCCCTAGCTTTTGCAGAGGCCAGCCTGGAAGCTTTCCCTGTTTCCCAACCCTGACCTTTTGTTTTGTTTTGTTTTTTGAGACAGGCTGTGGTTCTGTGGCCCAGACTGGAGTGCAGTGGCGCCATCTCAGCTCACTGCAACCTCCGCCTCCCAGGCTCAAGCGATCCTCCCACCTTAGCCTCCCAAGTAGGTGGGACCACAGGCATGTGCCACCATTCCCGGCTAATTTTTAAATTTTTGGTAGAGATGGGGTTTCACCATGTTGTCCAGGCTGGTCTTGAACTCCTGGGCTCAAGTGATCTGCCCATCTCAGCCTCCCAAAGTGCTGAGATTACAGGCATGAGCCACCATCCCTGGCCTCATCCCTCTTTTTAAAAAAAGGTTTTGTTCTAAAATGCTCACAGCAATCCTCAAAGCCTAGTGTCTGGTGGTTGGGGGAGGGGGTGGGCAGGAGGGACCAGGCTGGGGAGGTCCAAGAGGAGCTCCCAAGCTCTGCTCCTCAAGGGGTACCCTGGATCCAGCCTGCGGCTCACGCTTGCTTCAGTGCAGCTGTGTATCCTTCTGACATGAGCCTGGGGCGGTTACGTCCTGGGGTCCTCCACTCCCAGGGCACCCTCACCTACAGTGATCCCGGCTTCTGAATCACACAGGCACCTGGTTTCTACCCCTCCCTGACACCCACAGCCTGCCTTCACACCCTCCTTTATGGCCCACAGACCTTTGTGAGAAGTGCCAATCAAGCAGGGAGACTGGGGCAGGGTGACCTCAGATCTCTGAAGTCCCACCAAGCCCTGAAATTCTAAGATTTTAGATTTGCTGCTGGCAGTTCCAGGGCCACCAATGAGAGTAATGGAAGAAATAATGCAATATTATTATTATTATTATTATTTTGAGATGGAGTCTCACTCTGTTGCCCAGGCTGGAGTGCAGTGGCGCGATCTCGGCTCACTGTAACCTCTGCCTCCCAGGTTCAAGCGATTCTCCTGCCTCAGCCTCCCGGGTAGCTGGGACTACAGGCTCATGCCACCATGCCCAGCTAATTTTTGTATTTTTAGTAGAGATGAGGTTTCACCATGTTAGTCAGGCTGGTCTTGAACTCTTGACCTCGTTATCCGCCCGCCTTGGCCTCCCGAAGTGCTGGGATTGCAGGTGTGAGCCACCACGCCCGACCTAAACCGTTTTTAATGATTATTAAAACCAGCCAGATGTAATGCATGGTGGTTGCCCCTCTACATTTATTGTTTAATCTTGGCTCTAAGAGGTGGAGGTGAGAAGCTCCATTATAAGGAACAGAAACCACCCAGAGACCCTACACACCCACATCACACAACCAGTTAAGCAGTGGAGTGGGGTTTACATTGATTTGGGGGGCTCTCTGGCTCCTAAACCAGGGCTCTTTCTACTGTAAATGGATGATTGGGTGAGGGAAACAAGGATCCTCAAGAATAGGGGACAGTGTTTGGGGGTGCACAGGGGCTGCTGTGGTTCCCACAATAGGGTTCCTCAGGAAGGAACCTGCAGCATCTGCCAGCACAGCGCCCCCTAGCTGTGCTGTAACGCAGATAATGGGGATCACCCCTTAGCCAAACACCCCTTGGCAGCCTCCCTACCCTAAAGACCGTGCTGAGGCTTCCTGGGCCCCTGGAAAAGTCAGATTAGTCTGGACTTCCTCCTACTCCAGGAAGCCTTCCCACCTCTTCTGCTGCCACCCCAGGCAAACATAGGGGCCCTCTGTGCTCAACACTGAATTCTAAACTATCCTCAATTTCACTCTCTCTTGCCTGCAGCCTGACGTTTCCCCCCAGGGCTTGGCAAAGGCAAGAGTGCCTCGGTGTCCGGCACAAGGCCTGACCGCATGGGTGAAGTAGGTTCCTAAAAGCCAGCTGCGGCCAGACTGTGGGGGTGGGCACAGGGTGTCACCCTAGAACTCATTAGGCCCTGGTCATCATGGCACCTGGGGCAGGGGAAGTCCAGCCTGAGGGGTCAAATTCTGGCTGCAAATCCTGAGGCTGCCTCCTGTGACCACGGGCAAGGCACTTATTCTTCTAATTGCCAGTGGCCTCATTCATAAAGCAGGCGTCCTAATACCCGCCCAAGGCTGCGGTGCCTAGCATGTGACCTGGCCCACAGAGGCACTCGGTCCACAGATGTTGTTCTCTACCTGCCCCCTTCATTTCGCTGGCAGGACTGCATGCAGTGGGTGTCAAGGTTGGGCCTCACACAGGGGATAAGTGAGGGCTGATCTGCAGCCCATACTCCACACACCCAGCCATGTGCCCTGGTGGGGGCTCAGCCTCTGCCTGGCAGAAGGGGCCCTTTCCTCTCACCTGCACAACGGTGGCTTCCCAGCACAAAGGGCTTAAAGTGTTTGGGAAGTTTACACCCAGGAAGGCTGTGGGCTGGCCTGGCATAGTGGGCTGGCGAGCTGGTGCACTGTCTCTGGTATGCAGGAAAGATAGAGAGGAGAGGGAGGGAGGTGCGAAGTCACTGTTGCTGCTGCTAGAAGGGCCAGAGAGAGCCCAGGCTGGACAGGCAAAACCTGGCCTCGCCAGACTCCTGGAGCCTGCACAGAGTGTGTGTCTGAGAAGTCCGGATTCTGGTGCCAGACTGACTGCCTAGTGAGAAGCCTGGCACCGCCGGGTCAGGCTAGTGCACTTTTTCTTGTTTGTTTTTTGTTTTTGAGACAGAGTTTTGCTCTTGTTCCCCAGGCTGGATTGCAATGGCACGATCTCGGCTCACTGCAACCTCCGCCTCCTGGGTTCAAGCAGTTCTCCTGCCTCAGCCTCCCGAGTAGCTGGGATTACAGGTGCCCTCCACTAAGCCCGGCTAATTTTTTGTATTTTTGGTAGAGACGGGGTTTCACCATGTTGGCCAGACTGGTTTCAAACTTCTGACCTCAGGTGATCCACCTGCCTGGGCCTCCCAAAGTGCTGGGATTACAAGCGTGAGCCACCGCACCAGGCCAGGTTAGTGCACTTCTGTGAGCCTGAGTGTCCTCCTTGAAACGGTGACAATAATATACCAGGCCTCTTAAGATCACTCATTCAACACATACTGGAGAGTCTACTGTGTCAGGCATTGTTCTAGGATATTGTTAGGATTCAGTGGTACCCAGCAAGGACTCAGTAAATTCCAGCTACTGTTCCTATTAGGTCGCCAATATAAATGCTTGATGAGTGAATGAATGACTTCCGTCTGGGACTTGGTTGCAAATAAAGCCGAGCTGCATCTTAGGGAGGGGTGGAGACTTTGCCCCTGTTTGTGCCTTGAAGCCAGCAGGGCCTTGCCCTAGGATACCTCCACCCACCCTCCTGCCCAGCAAGTGGAGGTGAGGGGCGTGGCCTGGGGCTCTCCGGGAGGTCATGGTCATTGGGTCACTCGGAGCTTGTGTTTATATGAGGCCTGGCAGAGGGAGGCCCCTGGCTACCCACCTTTGTGCCCGGGTTCACCACCACTGGTTTCTGCGTTCCCTGGACTCTGCCCTGCACGGGCCGCACCTCCCCCGCCGGCCCTCGCCCATGCTCCAGCCCCAGCCCTAGCCCCAACAGCGGCCTCTCCCTGCTTCCCTTCTGACATCCTCCCTGTCGCCCAGGCCCGCAGCCCGAGTGTCGCCGCCATGGCTTCGCCGCAGCTCTGCCGCGCGCTGGTGTCGGCGCAATGGGTGGCGGAGGCGCTGCGGGCCCCGCGCGCTGGGCAGCCTCTGCAGCTGCTGGACGCCTCCTGGTACCTGCCGAAGCTGGGGCGCGACGCGCGACGCGAGTTCGAGGAGCGCCACATCCCGGGCGCCGCTTTCTTCGACATCGACCAGTGCAGCGACCGCACCTCGCCCTACGACCACATGCTGCCCGGGGCCGAGCATTTCGCGGAGTACGCAGGCCGCCTGGGCGTGGGCGCGGCCACCCACGTCGTGATCTACGACGCCAGCGACCAGGGCCTCTACTCCGCCCCGCGCGTCTGGTGGATGTTCCGCGCCTTCGGCCACCACGCCGTGTCACTGCTTGATGGCGGCCTCCGCCACTGGCTGCGCCAGAACCTCCCGCTCAGCTCCGGCAAGAGCCAACCTGCTCCCGCCGAGTTCCGCGCTCAGCTCGACCCCGCCTTCATCAAGACCTACGAGGACATCAAGGAGAACCTGGAATCCCGGCGCTTCCAGGTGGTGGACTCCCGAGCCACTGGCAGGTTCCGCGGCACCGAGCCCGAGCCCCGAGACGGTAACGCGGGGGAAGGGGGCAGGAGGTCGTCGGGGGCGCGGCCTCTACGCCCTGAGCAGTGCCCTGGACTTGACCTTTCTTTTATTTTTTTAATTTATCTTGCTTTCATTTCCTTTCCTTTTTTCTTTCCTTTCCTTCCCTTTCCCTTCCCTCCTTTCCCCCTTTTCCCTACCCTTGCCTTCTTTTCACAGGGTCTGGCTCTACCGCCCAGGCTGGAGTGCAGTGGCACAATCATGGCTCACTGCAGCCTCAACCTCCTGGGCTCAGGTGACCCTCCCCGCTCAGCCTGACCTTGCCTTTAAAGGCCACTGCATGAGGTGGGGAAGGAGATTTGACTTCCACTTGCCTCGGTGACTTTGTCTGTTAAGCAGAACCATAATACTGGCCCTTCCCCTCCTGTGCTTTGGGCAGTGACTCTCCCTAGCTCATTGGGAACCCTGGTTGCCCAAACAGCTCTCAATCCAACACTAGAGGTGTGGGGGGTCACTGTGGAATGTTGGGGGGCAGGCCCCAGTATGAGAGAAAAACCCAGAGGGATGGTCCTGATCAGGGCTACCCATGCCCCTGAGGATGGTGGAATGAAGGCAGAGTCGGGGGCTGCATAAAGGAAAGTCTCTTCCAGGGACCAAAGCTTGGAGAACTGAGGGTGGAAGGGGGATTAAACAGAAGTGGGTAGGGCAGAGCCTTCTGCCTGTGGGCTGGATTTCCTCAGGCAAGAAGCCTGTGGGTAAGCTCTGTATAATGCGAGGAGGAGTCCCCACAAAGCAGGCTGGTCAGTGGTCACGCTAGTGTGAGTCTTTCAAACATCCCGTGTAAGTAGATACTGTCATTGCACAGAGGAGGAAATGGAACCTGGCCCAAGGTCTCAAGAAACAACCCAGCCGGGATTCAGACTCGGCAGCCTGCGCACTTAACAGCCGTGAGCAACCAGGAACTCCCCAGCCCTTTCTCTTGTGCCTTCAAGAGTGCAAGAAACTGACCACTGCCCCTAGAGAGCTCTCTGAAGAGCATTCCCATGGCTACAGATTGGGTTTGGAGCCGCTTGGGCTCACCATGGGCCAGCATTGTTTTGGATGGCCTGAGGGCAAGGACTGTCCCTGCTCTTCATGCATCCTGAAGATTAGCTCAGTACCTGGCACAGAGTCGATGTTCCAGAGAGGTTTGGTGAATACAGAAGGTCCCTGTTGCATGGAATCCTGCAAAGCAATGTTGGTGTTACCGGAACCATAGGAAACAGCTGATATCCAACCATTTTTGAACCTACACAGGTGTCAGTTTCATGTGGTTCAGCCTAATGAGAGCACCACCTTAATCCTGTTGGGTTCTCCATCTCAGCCCCAGGGGAATGAGCAACACAGGGGAGCTAGCTGGTGGTGCCAGACTGGGGTTCAGATCCCTGCCACATTTACATGGGCTTTGTGACACACGACGGGTCATCTAATGTCTCTGAACTGCAGCTTCTGCCTATGTAGAATGGGAGCAGTAACACAGAGCATAAAGACATGATAGGGGCAAGGAGAGCAAGTGTGTAAAGCACTCAGCTCCGGGTTTTCATGCACAAGTGTGCTGCACACTTGTGCCTGACACTTATTCAGTCGCACTAGCTCATCTATAGAATGGGAGGTGATACACGCCTAGCAGGCTTGTTGTCAAAACAAACTAAGCTCACTGCAGCTGGATCAGTGATGAATGTCACTGTCGTCATCATTCCCACTCCACAGCCTGAGGCCTGGCCAAGTGCTCCTGTGATGTGCCACACCAGTCCAGCAGGCAGGGGAAACATGCTTTGCTTGGTGGGATTCAAGGTGTAGGGATGGCCCTCCCTTTACAGTCACCACCCTGGGTTGAGAGTTTGTTCCTCCTCCTTGCTCTGGGCTGGTCTCTATGTGATATCTGACCAAGCCCGGTAACTGTGTCTGTTAGGTGGGATGCATGACCCATTCCAGCCTCTCCACAGACTCGGGAGTGCTGTCTCTATGCCAGGGTCTGAGAATAGATACCGATACATGGGTCAGCAGCTCCTGTGGGGGTGTCACTCCACTGCGGAGGGAAACCAAGGCAGAAGCTGGACAAGAGTCTGAATGGCTCAGATTTGAATCATTCGTTTTTGGGGGGTTTTTTGTTTGTGTTTGTTTCTGTTGTTGTTGTTGTTATTGTTTTGAGACGGAGTTTTGCTCTTGTTTCCCAGCTGGAGTACAGTGGCGCAATCTCGGCTCACCACAACCTCCGCCTCCCGGGTTCAAGTGATTCTCCTGCCTTAGCCTCCCGAGTAGCTGGGATTACAGGCATGTGCCACCACGCCCGGCTAATGTTTGTATTATTAGTAGAGACGGGGTTTCTCCATGTTGGTCAGGCTGGTCTCGAACTCCCAACCTCAGGTAATCTGCCCCCCTCGGCCTCCCAAAGTGCTGGGATTACAGGCGTGAGCCACCGTGCCCAGCCCAAGCGTTAGTTGTGAAGGTTTATTTTGTTGCAAATCCCAGTCCTGCATGAAAATGGGAATGTTAGTAACCCCTGCCTCAAGGTGGGGCAGTGAAAACAAAAAACACCCTGGGAGTCTGCAGAGGTGTGGGCCTTTCCCATCCCATTCTTTCTGCTACAATCAAAATGATCGTTTAAAAATGGAAATCTAGGTTGGGCAAGGTAACTCCTACCTATAATCCTCACACTTTGGAAGGCTGAGGTGGGAGGATCCCTTGAGCCCAGGAGTTCAAGACCATCCTGGACATGATGGCAAGCCCCTTCTCAATAAAAAAAATTAAAAGTAACAGTAAAAAAGTAAACGCAGAAGCCTGAGTTCCCCCTGCAGTCAGGTCAAAGCCCCCAAGTCTTACTCCAGGCCTGCTAAGGCGTTCCCATCCCCTTCAGCTTCCCCTTTGGGCCTCTGGCTTCTCACTGTCTGGGCTTTCGTGACAATGACCTTTAACCCCTCCGGGCAACAGGTGGTTCCCTCGCCTTTCAGATTCCCTCTGCCTGGGATGCTCTAGGCCTCCATCCACCCAGACCCCTTTATGTGACTGAATCCTACTCATCCTTCGGGGCATTCTCAGAGAAACTTCCTCCACCCACTGAGCCCCCAGCCAGTGTGGCGTGAAGGTGGGAAGCATAGACTTGCCTGGGTTTACTCCTCCCTGCCCTCTGCTAGCTTGCACAAGCTAGTCTTTGTACTTCATTCTCTTCATCTTTACAAAAGAGAGGATAATAATTTCTTTCCCAGAGAATTTTGGGGTGGATTCAAGGAGAAAGTATAGCTGACCGTCTCCAAACAGTGCCTGGCAGAAAGTAAGCATTCAATAACATCAGCTATTGGCCAGGCAAGGTGGCTTACTCCTATATTCCCAGCACTTTGGGAAGCTGAGGCAGAAGGATTACTTGAGGCCAGGAATTCAAGACCATCCTGAGCCACATACTGAGACCCCATGTCTATAAAAACCAAATTAGGCCAGGCGTGGTGGTTCACACCTGTAATCCCAGCACTTTGGGAGGCCAAGGCAGGTGGATCATCTGAGGTCAGGAGTTCGAGACCACCCTGGCCAATATGGTGAAACCCCGTCTCTACTAAAAATACAAAAATTAGCCAGGTGTGATGGGTGCCTGTAATCCCAGCTACTCAGGAGGCTGAGGCAGGAGAATCACTTGAACCCAGGAGGTGGAGGTTGCAGTAAGCCAAGATCATGCCACTGCACTCCAGCCTGGGCAACAAGAGCAAAACTCCATCTCAAAAAAAAAAAAAAGAACAAAAAAAGGAAATTAGCTGAGCATGGTGGCATGTGCCTGTAGTAGTCCCAGCCCCTCGGGGGGAAGCTGAGGCAGGAGGATTGCTTGAGCCCAGGAGGTTGAGGCTGCAGTGAGCCTTGATCATGCCACTGCACTTCAGCCTGGGCAACAGAATGAGACCCTGTCTCAGTAATAATAATATCAGCTATTGCTGTTACTGGCGTTATTTTTTTTTTACATGCCCCAGGCCACCCAGTAGGGCACTTTTGGAACACCCATTATGCTTGTAATTATTCAGTTGCCTGTCTGCCCTGCCAGATTAAAGCTCCTTGCCTGCAGGTACTGCACGTTCTAGCTAGGCAGGGGTCTTGTTTATTGCTTTGCTGTCCCTAGGGTGCATAGTCAGGAAACCTTGGGGCCCAGTTCTTAGGTTCAAAGTTCAGTCAGCAATTTGCTAGATGTGTTAGCCTCAGGTGGTACTTAACCTCAGCATCACCGTGTATAAAATGGGGGCTCCTCTAAACAGTGCTCAGGTTTTATGGTTGTGAGAATTAAATGAGATGGTGGATATAAAGGATTTAGCACCATGCTTGCATGGGATGCTCTCAATATCTCGAGCACCACAAATACGAGGTACCATTCATAGCATCCTTCTATTTGTCCCCTCCTCCCTGCTCCCCTGCTGTAGGCATTGAACCTGGCCACATCCCAGGTACCGTGAACATCCCCTTCACAGACTTCCTGAGCCAGGAGGGGCTGGAGAAGAGCCCTGAGGAGATCCGCCATCTGTTCCAGGAGAAGAAAGTGGACCTGTCTAAGCCACTGGTGGCCACGTGTGGCTCTGGCGTCACAGCCTGCCACGTGGCACTAGGGGCCTACCTCTGCGGCAAGCCAGACGTGCCCATCTACGATGGCTCCTGGGTGGAGTGGTACATGCGCGCCCGGCCCGAGGATGTCATCTCAGAGGGCCGGGGGAAGACCCACTGAAGCTGGGCAGGACACAGGCGAGCTCAGGTGATGCCGGCCACCAGCAATGCCTGGCCTGGTAGCTCCGCTTCTGCTTTCACCAAGAGAGTGTTTCTTCACTCAACTCAGGTGGCATTTGGGGTGACATCTCAAAGGCCAGGAATTCCGTTGACTTGTTGGCTGCCAGTAGGGGCGGGAGGAAAGGCGGAGGCGAGCCCTGGAGGAGGGAGGCCACAACTCCGAGCTGCCCACCTGGTGCTGAGCTGGGGCCCCGCCTCCTTTCTGTTTTATTTTTGAGGAAATAAAATAACCAAGTGCTAAATCTTGTAGCTCTGGGGCTGCCTCGGTTTTCCTAAGGAGCCAGGGGTTCTGTCATGCCCAGCAAAGGTCACTCTGGGGAGCCTGAGGGTCTTGGAGATCCTGTCTCTGCCTTCCAAGCAGTGCTGGGGCCCCAGAGCTCCCCACTTCTGTGACTGAGCTAGCCCCTAGCAAGCTGTCCCTCACCCCATAATCCTGGGCGTTCTCCCTTCTGGCATCTGGGCTATTTAAGGTGAATTTTGCTGTGACATGTCTGTGGTCCCACCCAAAGCTACTCTCCCACCACCTGCCCTTCTAGCAGGTAAATAGTACATCTCATTTCCAGAAGAAGATGGGGCCAGAGCTTAACAGAAGCCTGTGCCATGCCAAGGAGGAATGTCCCAGCCCAGCTGGGATGTTCTAGGGAAGGGCTAAGCTGAGCTGAATTGGAGGAGAACCTGGCTCTAAACTCTGGAAGCTCACACTTGGGGGCTGGTCTGTGGAATTCCCGGAGTGGGTGGACCCAGGGAGTTTGATTCTTTCTGCTCAAAGAGAACATCTCTCCCCATTTCCCAAGGGTAGGGGTTCCATCCTCCTTGCCCGGGATTTATCCTTTGTGCAGAGGTGGACGTAGGTGTCTGAGAAGGCCCCAAACTCCCCCCTGCCCATCACGACCTGGATTGCCCCTCCCCGTCTTTCCAGCCCTCAGGCACCATCTCAGCAGCGCAGGGGCAGTGTCCTGCCAGGCGGTACTGGGGAGAGCTCGAAGTTATCTTATTGGCCCTTCCTTTGGAAACGAGACCAGAGAGGGGCAGTGACTTACCAAGGCCACACTGAATTTATGAAGAGCCAGGGCCAGATCCAGATTCCCTGACTCAGTTTATTCCTCTTTTCACCTGACTGTATCCCCTCAACTTCCCCCTGATGCTGAGTCATTTCCCAAGTCCGCAGGGACGGGAGAAATCGACACAGCCTAGAATCTTGGTTTTCCAAGTAAGAGCTCTAAAGTAACTCCCAACCTCTCGGAGCCTCAGTTTCCTCCCCTAAAACATGGGAATCGTGTACTTCCGAAGAAGAAACTCAGATGAGAGCCCTTCCAAGAGTCCACTGCAGAGTCCCCGTTTTCCACACCGGGGGTTCTCAGCCTCAGTGCTGCTGACATTTACACTGAATGATTCCTTGTCATGGGGGCCGTCCTGTGTGCTGGGGGATGCTTGGCCGCGTTTCTGGCCTCTGCCCACTAGATGCCAGTAACACTGCCCAGTTATGACAACTGAAAGTCTCCAGATGTGGCCGGATGTCCCCTGGGGGGCAAAAATCACCCCCAGTCAAGAACCACTGCCCTAGGGGCAAATAACACAATTGACCACTGCAGTCAGGAACAGTGTAGACAGGGAACCCCAACATGGAGGGGCTCCCCGACTCCCCATCATAAGCACCTTCTCCCAGAAGTGGAAGTGAGGCAGTTTAGACACTCCCCCCTTTCTGGCCGGTCTCAGACAAGCTTTAGTTTTCCTTCCTGGAATGGCTCTGCCACTTTGAGGAGACAAGTTTGTCTGCAAACATGTGAGGTTCTGATCCAGCTTCCAGTCCCAACCACTCCACACAAGGCAGCCTGACCTCGAACATGCTGCCCAGCCTCTGCAGGCTTCCGTTTCTTTTTTCCCCCCCACCCCGAGATAAGAGTCTTGCTCTGTTGCGCGGGCTGGAGTGCAATGGCACGATCTCGGCTCCCTGAAACCTCTGCCTCGCGGGTTCAAGCGATTCTCCTACCTCAGCCTCCTGAGTAGCTGGGATTACAGGCACTCACCATCACGCCCGGCTAATTTTTGTATTTTTAGTAGAGACAGGGTTTCACCATGTTGGCCAGGCTGGTCTCAAACTCCTGCCCTCGTGATCCACCTTCCTCGGCCTCCCAAAGTGTTGGGATTACAGGCGTGAGCCACAGCGCCCAGACCCGTTTCTTCACCTGTAAAACGGGCAAAATAGTACCTTCCTGGCCAGCACGGTGGCTCACGCCTGTAACCTCAACACTTTGGGAGGCATAGGTGGGAGGATCACTTGAACTCAGGAGTTCAAGACCAGCCTGGACAACATAGTGAGACCTCATCTGTAGGCAAAAATAAGAAAAAAGATGAGCCGGGCAGAGTGGCATGTGCCTGTAGTCACAGCTACTTGGGAGGCTGAAGTGCAAAGATCGCTTGAGCCTGGGAGGTCAAGGCTGCAGTGAGCTGTGATGACACCACCGCACTCCAGCCTGGGAAACAGAGCAAGATCGTATCTCAAAAAAAGAAGTACCTTCCTGAGCAGTATGAGGATTACATGAGATAATCCACAGAAACTGTTTTGCTTGGTGCAGAGTAAACACCAAGGGTTTCTTCCCATTAGTTTTAAAGGAGTTTTACTTATTCAGCATGTTAAGTGCCTTCTGCACTTCCGGCATTGGAGGAGAGAGAGTGACAAATAGAATTGTGTCCCAGCCCTCTCAAAGCTTCCAAACTAGGGAGGAGAAACTAGTCTTTTAGAGTACATTTCCAGAGAGAAGGGGGTGCTGTGAAATGATCTATTTCACAACAGACTAATTTTACAGGTGGGAAAACAAGCTCAGAGAGGTTCAGTGATTTGCCTCAGGGCACACAGCTAGTTTGCTAGAGGAACCTAACTGGAGTTAGAATTCTCCAGGGGAGGAGTTTCTCCAGCGGATCTTGCCTGCCATGGTTTTCCAGATTCCAGGATCAAGGTGAGAACAGAAACGCATGAGAAGCTCAGGGAAGATGGCCACGTGTTTCTCAGCTCCACAGGGAAACCTTGAGCAGTGGAATTTAACCAATGGGTTTGGGTTAGGCGCCCTTCCCCTACCCTAGTCCAACCTGCAGCAAGGAAACCAAGGCTGATTCCAGCCCGGGCTTTTTTCTCCTGGGAAGGTCCTCCTTGGGTCTGGACAGGCTCGGAGGTGACCTGCCTAGAGGTGGGCGATCTAGCCGCACCTTTCTAGGACTACAGAGCTTCAGTTTAACTTTGCAGGAGTTTGTTAGGAATGAACTAGACACGCACCCTCCGCCCAGCTCCGTCCCGCCTCCTGCAAGCCTGAACTCTTAGAATAATTAACCACTGACTGCAGGATCCTGGCCTCTGCCAGGGCCCGCCCTACCCAACCTGTGTGTTCGAGGCAGGAACTTGCAACACTGAGCAACAAGAATGATGAAATTTTTATCCACTTGGCAAATATTTGCTCGGCGCCCCCTCTGTGTCAGGAACAGTTGGAAATGCGTTTCCCAACCTTGCCTAACCAGCTGCCCTGGAATGTTTTCCACTTCCTGGGTCATTGCCTCCAGAGATCAAAGCCCCCATCCACACAGTGGGCTGAATATGGATCCATGCAGCGATCTGGTCCTGGTGCTGTGGAATCAGCTTTGCACAAGGCCCCAGAAGGTCTGCGTTCCAGAGCCTTCCTGTTGGGGCCTCAGTCTTCTCATCTGAAAAATGGGAGCAAACTCAGTTCTGCCATGCCCAGTGTGGGTGTGATGTCACATCAGGTAAGGCTCAAAATGAAGTCAGGTGTCACACCTACTGGAATAACCTCAGCTCTATAAGCACAATGGAGCTTTATTATCCTTAACTCATGGAGGATGAATCACTTGGGGGAAGATGAAATGTTGAAATATTCAGGTTAACGGAAAGTGTTATTTTAAGCACCTAAATTTTTTGCCTATTAACCTACTAGGGGTGGAACTTGGTAGGCTGATCTTGCCTGAACTTCTGGGGGCTTTGTTTGATCCCTTGATTGCACAGCGATACCTGCAGGGGCTCCTTGCCCCTCAACTGTCAGGATGTTGAGGTCTTCAGGTCCTCGATACTGAATCCTAGCTGACTGCCCTTCTGGTTTCCCGTCTGTGTTCTCTGGAGTCTCCCTCGGCCTGCTTCGAGGCGGGCCCGCTCTCTAGATAATGCTGCCATTCGGATGGTTTCAACGACTGTGCTGAGCCAGTGACTCTGGAATCGGGGCCTCCCGCAACTCGATTCCTCCTGAACTCAGATCCCTGAGTCATGGCCTCCCAGCCCCAAGCCTGCTCCTCCACCTGTGTCCCCTGTCTCAGTGTGCACGGTCACCACTTGTGGGTCACCCAGGCCCACACCTGGCAGCAAGTGATCTGAGACTCTGTCCCACTTACCTACAGCCGGTCAGACCTCCACCTCTACTCCCATTGCCTTTGTCCAAGTCCCCCACTCAGCCCGCACCCAGCACTCAGCCTGTCTCCTCCATTCATTCCAGGGTACTTCCTAGGGACAGGCCCTGTGGCAGGATCTGGGGGCATGGAGGATAAAGACCAGCCCTGAGAGGGGGCATTCGCCCCATGGGGAGGGACAGACATGGATCCTGGCAACAGCGTGGCGAGGAGTATCTGAGAAGTGGAAACACAGAGAACCGCCATGGGTTGGGGGGCTGGTTCTGGGTCTGAGAGGCACCTCCACACCCACGCATAGTCCCTTTTATGAATTCCCTGGACTGTGCCCTCTTGCTCCAGGGAGAGCTGCAGCAGGGGACGGTTCAAAGGGCAGCCTCCGGAGCACCCTGACCTCCAACTCCCTGGCCGTGAGTGTGGGCAGAGGGGCCTGGATTTCCTCATCTGAGACGTGGCAATAATCCACTTTATAGGATTGCTGTGAGGATGAAGTGATTTGGTTCATACATAGCACTGAGAGCAGAAGCTGACCTCATAAGCACCAAATCCACGGGCTTGTTTGTTTGTTTGTTGTTTGTTTTAAGATGGAGTCTCGCTCTGTCACCCAGGCTGAAGTGCAATGGCAAGATCTCAGCTCACTGCAACCTCCACCTCCCAGTTTCAAGCGATTCTTGTGCCTCAGCCTCTGGAGTAGCTGGGATTACAGGTGCCCACCACCACACCTGGCTGATTTTTGTATTTTTAGTAGAGACGGGGTTTCACCATGTTGGTCAGGCTGGTCTCAAACTCCTGACCTCAAGTGTTCTGCCTGCCTTGGCCTCTCAAAGTGCTGGGATTACAGGCCTGAGCCACTGTGCCCGACCACCATGTTGTATTGTTACTGTTACTGCTCTCCTGTCCTGCACCTGCCCTGCCTGCCTCCCTTGGCTGGGCTGTAAAACCTTGAGGGGTAACGTATCTTATTCATGTTTCTTGTCCTGGTACCAGCACAGCAACTGACATGGATGGGGGGTTAGGGGCTCAGAAAGCATTGCCCTAAAATATGGCGCTCTGACATGAAGCAGCCTCAAGGTCTATCTGACCTCCCTGCCTCCTTCTCTGAATCCTCTGTCTCTCTCAAAGTGCAGGATGACGCTGTTCTCTGAAGTTTCTTTATCTGCCTAGAAACGGGACCTGCCAAAGGGGAACACAATTACCTTCCCTGGAATATCATTAGCTAGAGGTTAAAACTCATATCCTAGAGGATATGAGACTGAACATTAAACACCACACCTACAGCCCAGATAAACTTCATCCCAAACCATTATCTGCTCTCTTTCCCTTTCAATGTCCAAAGAAATTATTAATTATCATCTGGACGCTGGACTCATTCATTTCCCCCCTAAAAACCATTGACTGTCCTTCAAATTGCCACGTGTCCCCCATCTCTCCTTCCCCCGTGAAGAAGGGCGCATGCACCTGTACCCCACTGGGTTATTGGGTAACTTCTGTGATTCCCTCATGCTCTGCACGTTGAAATAAATTTTGTCTTTTCTCCAATTAATCTTCCTTTTGTCTGTTGATTTTCAGCGAGCCTTCACGAGGAGAAAGGGAAGCTTTCCCTTTGTCTCTGCAGGGGCCAATGAATGTTTAATATTACACAAGTACACTCTCAGGGCTGAGAGGCACCTTAATAACCCCTCCTGTTTACTGTTTCCATGTGCCAGAGAGGATGCTAAGTGCTTTGCCTCCATTTACTCTAACCACTCCGAGAAACAGGTGTTATTATCCTCCATAAGTCAGGTGATTGAGGTCAGGAGTTCGTGACAGCCTGGCCAACATAGTCAAACCCCGTCTCTACTAAAAATACAAAACATTAGCTGGACGTGGTGGTGGGTGCCTGTAATCCCAGCTATTTGGGAGGCTGAGGTAGGAGAATCACTTGAACCCAGGAGGCGGAGGTTGCAGTGAGCTGGGATCGCGCCACTGCACTCCAGCCTGGGCAACTTTGCCTCAAAAAAAAAAAAAAAAAAAAAAAGTCAAGTGACTTGCCCAAGATGACAGGAGAGGTTAGATCTGGGGCTGGGCTCTGAATCCTAGACAGAATGACCACAAGGCTTTTGTCCACTACAAGACAGAATTGGGGAGGGGATCACAGAAGAGGGAGCAGGCTTCTCTCTGGGTGGGGAGGTGTCATACACCCCTTAAAACACATAGGTGTGTATGCACACGCACACAAACACATGCACGTTCACACCTTTGTACACAAGTGAGGAACAGGGCAACCAAAGGCTAATTTACTTGTCTGGCTAGCTGTGTGCTCTTTGATATGTTTCTCCGGGACTTTTTTTTTTTTTTTTTTGAGACGGAGTCTAGCTCTATCACCAGACTGGAGTGCGGTGGCACAATCTCAGCTCACTGCAACCTCCACCTCCCGGGTTCAAGTGATTCTCCTGCCTCAGCCTGCCGAGTAGCTGGGACCACAGGCACCTGCCACTACGCCCAGCTAATTTTTGAATTTTCAGTAGAGACGGGGTTTCACCATGTGGGCCAGGATGGTCTCGATCTCTTGACCTTGTGATCCACCTGCCTCAGCCTCCCAAAGTGCTGGGATTACAGGTGTGAGCCACCGCGCCTGACCTCTCCAGAACTTTTTTTTTTTTTATGCTGCCTGATTGACTTCAAAGTAAAAGCAAGGACAGGCACGGTGGCTCATGCTTGTAATCACAGCACTTTGGGAGTCCCGGGCAGGAGGATTGCTTGAGGCCAGGAATTTGAGATCAGCCTGGGCAACAAGTGAAGACCCTGTCTCTTCAAAAACATAGATTAGCTGGGCATGGTGGTTGCACACCTGTCGTCCAAACTACTCAGGAGGCTGAAGCAGGAGGATCACTTGAGCCCAGGAGAAGTTCAAGGCTGCAGTGAGCCATGACTGCATCCCTGCACTCTAGCCTGGGCAACACAGCAAGATCCTGTCTCTAAAAACAAACAAATAAAAAGAAAATAAAAACAAGAAAGCATGTGAATATGAATTTTATTCACTTCAGCTTATTCCTTTTCTTGAGGTGCCTTTCTCACCTTCTGCAAAGTGGCAGGTAAATGCCCCTCCTGTAACCTGCAGAAAGCGAATTAGGGGAGAAATTCAGTACCAGGCTGTGCTTGCTTTTCCAATGACTGGAGCTACACATGCAGCTCCGGAAGTGGGAATAAGGAGCTGTGCATCATTCTAGGTAGGAGAGATGCATGATGGGCAGGGACAGGCAGAAACCACTAGAGACAAGAGCCGCTGTGGGCTGGCTGGGAGCTCCGGGCCAGGAGGAGCATCTGTAAGAGCAGAGCAGAGCCGCCGAGGGTGGTATGGGTCCTTCGGTGTGCCCACCCTCATGTTACCTGCTTGTTCACCACGCCCCTGGCTCTGAGACATTTCTGGCTGCCTGGTTGCCCTTCCTCAGCCCTGTACTCATGTCTAGCCTCTGCCATCTTGACTCAATGACCCTTGGCATGCCCCATTGAAGTGTCTGCTCTGGCCTTGCCAGCTCCCACCTGGATTGGCACATCAGCCTCCCAAACCCTCCCAAGCTATCCTCTTCCTCCTTATCTATTGTGTGGGCCATGCCAAGAGCCAGGCTGAAGCAGGCAGCGGGGAAAAGAGAAACCAGGCGGGGAGGGGACGCGTGTGACTGTGCAGGGAGGACTGCAAGACCCTGCATGGAGGCTTCGCCAGTGTTCGGCCAGTGGTCAGCTGAGGCGCTTGGCATGGGGCTTGGGCCCCTGGGGTCGGAAATAGGGCAGGATGGTCAACCTGAGGCGAATAGAAAGAGGTTTTGGAACTGAGGTCCTTCCAGTGCAGCCCTGGAGGGTGGAAACAGGAAGGAGAGCGGGAGACAGAGCCTGGGAGCAGGGGTGGGGTGGGAAGCCGCCAGGAGCCAAGGGAGGAGGGGGCAAGCCCCAGAGGCTGCAGCTGTCCTGGCCTTGCCATTGCACAGGAGGTGCGAATACGTTAGGCTGGCTGGCAGATTCAGCGTTGGGGAAACGATTGCAATAGAAAGTGAGGCTGAGTATCATTACACTAAGTCACCCGCTTGCCGTTCGAGGACTGCAGAGTCCAAATGGGAGTTGCAGGAACTGGGCTCTGATTTATCATCACACTCAATCATTTATGTTCCAACCGATTCTGCTGCCTTTAAAAAAAAATTGGCCATAAGAAATATTTATTAAAGACCCAAAAATAAAATAGCAGAATAGGCAATTAGAGAAAGCTGTGAATTCATGATTTCTAAATAACTGGTTTTAAAAAAATAAATTATTGGCCAGATGCGATGGCTCACGCTTGTAATCCCAGCACTTTTGGAGGCCGAGGCAGGTGGATCATGAGGTCAGGAGTTCAAGACCAGCCTGGCCAACACAGTGAAACCCCCCTCTACTAAAAATACAAAAATTAGCCGGGCGTGGTGGCGCACACCTGTAATCCCAGCTACTTGGGAGGCTGAGGCAGGAGAATCGCTTGAACCCAGGAGGCGGAGGTTGCAGTGAGCTGAGATCACACCACTGCACTGCAGCCTGGGCGTCAGAGCTAGACACTGTCTCAAAATATATATTATTGTTTGAGGAGACAACACCTGTACTCTGAATAAATCTGAAAAGGTACCAAAGGATTCACAGGAGCCTCCCTCCCAGAGCAGCCCCAGTGAGTCAATTCCTTTCTCCCAGGCAAACACTATGTCAGTTTCTTGTGTATCATCAGAGATGACTTGTGCAGCTAAAAGAAAGCACATATATATGTGTATATATTGTACATATTGCTTCTCTCTTTTTTGTCCATAGCATTTTGTTTTCAGATAATATGATAGTACACCTGAAAAACCCCAGAGAATTAATAATAAAAGTTACTCAAACAATAAAAAAAAAATCAATGAGGTATACAATTAACATATGGAAATCAGGCTGGGCACACTGGCTCAGGCCTGTAATCCCAGCACTTTGCAAGGCCAAGGTGGGCGGATCACTTGAGGTCAGGAGTTCAAGACCAGCCTGGCCAACATGGCGAAACCCCGTCTCTACCAAAAATACAAAAATTAGTCAGGTGTGGTGGCATGCACCTGTAGTCCCAGCTACTCAGGAGGCTGAGGCACAGGACTCTCTTGAACCCAGGAAGTGGAGGTTGCAGTGAGCCAAGATCATGCCACTGCACTCCAGCCTGGGTGACAGTCAGACTCCATCTCAAAAAAAAAAAAAAACAACTAACACACAGAAATCAGTAGATTTCATATACTCAAACAATAGCCAGTTAGAGAATATAATGGTAGCCCAAGTGCAGAGGTTCACACCTGTAATTAATTCCAACACTTTGGAAGGCCGAGGTGGGTGGAACATGAGAGGATCGCTTGAGCCCATGAGTTCAAGACCAACCTGGGCAACGGGCGAGGGGGACTCTGTCTCTACTTTTTTATAAAATAGAAAGAGAAAGAGAGAGAGACTCTAATGGTAGAGAAAAACCTCAGTTACAATAGCAACAAAAAAAATTCAAAAGGACAGAAAAAGCAACTTAACAAGAAATGCGCAAAGCCTATTTAGGATAGCTTTAAAATAACCTCCTAAAAGACTCAAAAGTAGGTTTGAACAAATGGAAGACATCCCTCGTCCTTGAATAGGACAACTCAACATCATAAAAATGTCAGTTCTCCCTAAGATAATTTAAACATTTGACCCATCCACAATAAAAATATCAATATGCTTCTTTATTGGGCTAAAAATGCTGACCCAAGTTCACATGGAAAATCAAGCATGCAAGAATAGCAGGAAAACTTTGAAGAGAAAAAGCTACAAAGGGTCTGACCCTACAAGAATACTCTAAAGACTCTCTGTAATTAAAACAGTGTGTGGCTTGTGCATGAATAGACAGACCAATGGACTAGAATAGTGAGTCCAGAAATAGGCTCAAATACTCCAGGAAACTTAGTGTATGATAAAGGCATCTCAAACCACTGGGGCAAAGATGGACTTCTTTTTTGTTTAAGAGACAGGGTCTCGTTGTGTCATGCAGGCTGGAGTGCAGTGGTGTGATCATGGCTCACTGCAGCCTCGAATCCCTGGGCTCAAGCAATCCTCTTGCCTCAGCCTCCCAAGTAGCTGGAACTACAGGTGCGTGCCACCACACCCAGCTCCAAGTAACTCTTGAATGCGATATTTTGGCTGTTTGGACTATACATACTCAGGCAAAATACAAAATAAACAAAAAAACTTCCGATAACAAATATTGAACTCTTGTTAATAGGTTTGTTTTTCACAATGTTATAGGTTACCAATTATAAAACTAGGACTGGCTAAATAAGTAAGGAAATGTATTAAAGATACTGGGAACAAACTGTTTCCCTATTGGAGAAAAGACAAACAAATATGGAAAGGGAGAAGACTTAAATGAAGCCTGTGGTGCTGGACTGAAGTTGGAGATATCAGCGTGAACCCAGGATTTCTACTATAGACAGGTGCAGAAACAAGTGTGTGTGTGTGTGTGTGTGTGTGTGTGTGTGTGTGCACGTGTTTCCCAGCTCTAGCTCTGTTCCTTGAGATTTCCTGAAAGCAGTGACATCCTAGTGCAATGAGGCCACCAAATGCTCAGGTGTTGGTTTTATCTTTTCTTTTTTTGAGACGGAGTCCTGCTCTGTCGCCCAAGCTGAAGTGCAATGGCACGATCTCGGCTCACTGCAACCTCCAATTCTCAGGTTCAAGCGATTCTCCTGCCTCAGTCTCCAGAGTAGCTGGGATTACAGGTGCCTGACACCATGCCTGGCTAATTTTTGTATTTTTAGTAAAGACAGGGTTTCACCATATTGGTGTCAAACTCCTGACCTCAAGTGATCCACCTGCCTCGGCCTCCCAAAGTGCTGGGATTATAGGCGTGAGCCACCACACCCAGCCTGGTGTTGGTTTTAAATACCATTATCCATCAAAAGGAACTGGAGCTGCCGGGGCAGGAAAAGTATAATACGAGCCCAGACTGTTTTGCTGGGCCAGAAAGGAAGGAAGTGCTCAAATGATAATGGGGATGAGTCAGAAGGATACAGGAGCCAGTTGGGAGAGGAGAATAGAGACCTGCTGTTTAATGAGTAGAGAGTTTCAGTTTTGCAAGATGAAAAGAGTTCTGTGGATGGAAGCTGGTGATAGAATCACAACAATGCGAATGCATGTAATGTCACTAAACTGGACACTTAAAAATGGTTAAAATGGTACATTTTATGTGTATTTTACTACAATGTTTAAAAAGATTCAGTGTTTAAGAACCGGTTTTTAAAAAAGGACACAGGCTGGGCATGGTGGCTCATGCTTGTAATCTCAGTGCTTTGGGAGGCCGAGGCGGAGCGGAACACAAGGTCAGAAGTTTGAGACCAGCCTGGCCAACATGGTGAAAGCCCAACTCTACTAAAAATACAAAAACTAGCAGGGCATGGTGGCGCGTGCCTGTAGTCCCAGCTACTCAGGAGGCTGAGGCAGGAGAATCGCTTGAACCCGGGAGGCAGAGGTTGTGATGAGCCGAGATCGCACCACTGCACTCCAGCCTCCATCTCAAAAAAAAAAAAAAAAGAAAAATCGATGGGGGAAAGGAGTAACTGTACAGCTCAGAGACCTGGCAGACACCACCTGCACAAAATGATCAGCCCTGATCTCACCAGTAATGGGAGTCATGGACATCAGATTCCTTCAAGACCTGATGCACTGGCAAGAACACAACCTCATTTCTATGAGAGTCCTGCCAAAAATGCATACGCTGAATCCAATCATGAGGAAATATCAGGCAAACCCACACTGAGGGTAATTCTACTAAAAAAAAAAAAAAATCACCTATACTCCAAAAATGAAAGCAAGAGAAACTGTCCCAGATCAAAGGAGAACTAAAGAGAAATGACAAGGGAATGCAATTGTCCTAGATGGGCTCCCAGAGGCTTTTAGCAAAGTTTTTTCCTTTCTTTTTCTATAAAGGACATTAGTGGGACAAATGGAGACTGGAAGAAATCTGTAGATAAGCTATGGTATGTAACAGTATTAATTTCCCGACTTTGACCATTGTCCTGTGGTTATGGAGAGAATGTCCTTGTTTTTCAGAAATCATGCTGAAGAGTTTAGGAATGAAAAGTCATTAATTTTGCAGTTTACTTTCATATTTATTTATTTTTAATTTTTATTTTTTTTGAGATGGAGTCTCGCTCTGTCGCCCAGGCTGGAGTACAGTGGTGCAATCTTGGCTCACTGCAACCTCCACCTCCCGGGTTCAAACAATTCTCCTGCCTCAGCCTCCTGAGTAGCTGGGATTACAGGCATGTGCCACCACGCTCGGCTAATTTTTGTATGTTTAGTAGAAATGGGGTTTTATCATGCGGGCCAGGCTGGTCTCGAAGTCCTGACCTCAAGTGATCCGTCGGCCTCAGCCTCCCAAAGTCCTGGGATTACAGGCATGAGCCACCATGCCCAGCCTGTAGTTTACTTTCAAAAACAGTTCAGAAAAGTAACAAAGAAGGTGGGGAGAGAACAAAGGAAAGACTGTGTGAACACTTGGTGCGTCTGGTAAAGGCTCTACGGGATTTTTTACTATAATGTTTGCAACTTTTCTCTAAGCCTAAAATTATTTTCAAAGCGAAATGTTTTGTTGTTATTTCAATGCAGTTTTTTCTGATTTAGTTTCAGCTAGGGCTGCTCACTGACCCCACTTTCTTTTTTTTTTTTTTGAGATGGAGTCTCTCTCTGTTGCCCAGGCTGGAGTGCAGTGGCCCGATCTCAGTCACTGCAACCTCCACCTCCCGGGTTAAAGCAATTCTCGTGCTGGGATTACAGGCGCCACCAGGCCTGGCTACTTTTTGTATTTTTAGTAGAGACAGGGTTTCACCATATTGGCCAGGCTGGTCTCCAACTCCTGATCTCAAGTGATCCGCCCACCTCAGCCTCCCATAGT